>NC_000007.14:118264354-118567385 GCF_000001405.40 Homo sapiens
TGTAGGGTTCAGACTCTTGAAGAATAGAGAAAGGGTACAGAGAAAGGCTGAAAATGTATCTGGGGCATGGTAGGTGGACAATATGTGAATAACCAGCAAACTCTAGCAACAATAAGCTTATTAAGATAGCCTGTGTGATGGTTATTTCTACTACGAATTTTTCTACTTTAGGCACCAGTTCGAGCCTTACTTGTAAGGCATGGACATTTAACAATACTTGGAGAGGTTTTTTAAATCAGAACTTACCGTGATGTGGCTCGGTGGCTTCTGGTGTGAAGATTTATAGTGGGGGCTAGATGCCTCTAGTAAGTGGGCTTGGGTGGTGCCTCAAACTCAAATATCCATTTGCATCTCCTCATGTACATAGAGGTCAGGAAGCCCAGGAAAAAAGTCTTTGATCTCTGTTCACCAACAGAGTTCAATATAATGGTTAAAGAGACGGCTCCAACAAATGGTAGTCTGCAAAAATAAAGGGAAAATGGTCTGTCAATCCAGCAATGGAGCCTGGGTTAGCAGAGAAGTGTAGGTTACAACTATATGACTGATTCTCAGCAGTTCTACTACTTCTCACCTTATTGCCTGGGAAATTTTTGCTGGAACAGTGTTGTGGTGCTGGTGGTGGTGATGGAACCAGAGGAAGCAGTCTGCCACACAGATGACTTTCTGTCTTCCTTACAAGGAAGGCACACTAACATCTTCTGTGTACATGACTCAACCCCCTGTTGTGTCAGCCTGGGAAGCCTAAAAATTAAAGTGAAGCTGGAAAGGTTTATTGCTGTCTCTGTCACCACAGTTTTAATGTGTAGGTTGTTATGTATATTACCACTCTTATCAATTGTTTTATTGTTGATATTTTATGCATTAAATAGGCTTTGTGATTTGACTGATTTTCTGCCTCCAGAACAGAGTTTCTCAATTGCAACATTATTGGCACTTCAGGATGGATAATTCTTTGTTTTGGGAAACTGTCCTGTGCATTGTAGGATGTCTAGCAGCATTCTTATTCTCTACCCACTGTATGCCTGTAAGCATCCCTTTCTCCCGGTCGTGACAACCAAAAATGTCTCTAGATTGTGCCAAATGTTTGCTTGGGGCACAACGTCACCTCTGGTTGAGAACTACCTTTCTGGAAGAACTTGATGTGATAACTCTTAGTAAAATTTCTTTTTTCATATATTCTTAATATGTACAACACATATTAAAAGTTTCATATTCTGAATTTTCTTTTTCTTGTTTCTGTGAGGAGCCATTCAGCATTGTAAAAATGCATTGGTGATGTTTTGTGTTATAGCAATTTCTCTTAGCTCTACAGATACAAATGTTGGGGGAGGCTCTCTTAAGAGGGCAACCTTCACATTAAGCAAAAATGCTACAAATGTAGCTTATTTGTAGATATATTCTATTTGAATATGTTCATCTATAAATGTTCTATTACATATGAGAATAGAAATTCAAATGAATTAGAGGAGCTTAGCTTAAAGAATAAGGCTGGAGAAATGGAAAAATTGCATTAGTTTTTCAGCACACATACACCCAAAATATAACATTGTAGTAAAATTCAAAATGTCAGCATTTTGAAGTAGTTTGTTTTAGATACAGGGAAAACAGATTTCCTCAAAACGTAATATTTTAAAAGATGTGTCCAAACAGAATTTTCCTGTGTTCAAAGATAATAAACTTTATATCCAACACATTTAATTTGCTAATAAAAACTATTCATTCTTAAGAAATTTCTAAAAGGCATACAATAAACGAGTACTTCGTTATTTCCCAAAAGGCTTAATTCCAAAAACAAGCAAACTCAAATTTAAACCTGTTTTACAACTGTGTTAAGTATATCAATTACATTACTTTTTGCTATAAAACCTCTTCTGATAGAAAGCAGCAAAAATTACGTCTGTGTTCTGCATGCCAAATCTTCACAGTGTTTCCCAGCTGCATTGGTGTTCCAAGCCAGGCTCTTTCTCTTTAGAGTCAGTGTAATGAGCTATAATTGATGGTAGCCATGATGATGGTGAAGCCTGAAGTGAGTATTTCTCATGTAAGCTCATTCAAAGGAGTTTTGAGCAATCATTTCTGTGTCAGAGTCAAGTTTTTGTGGTGAATGAAAAAAACTATACATACATATATATGTATGTATATATACACATACATATATACATACATATACATATGTATATATATACATACATATACATATGTATATATATACATACATATACACATATATATACATACATATACATATGTATATATATACATACATATATACATATATACAGATATGGTATATGTATGGTATATGTATGTATGGTATATACATATATACACATATATACATATGTATGTATATACATACATATACATATGTATATATATACATACATATACATATGTATATATATACATACATATATATGTATATATATACACACACACACACACACATATATATATATATGTAAACATTCATTTTGGACCTGATAACATTTTTTTTTTCCTTTTACCAGCCAATAAATCTTAGAGTTTTTTTCTTGTTGTGGAGATTTATAGGTGGATTCATTTTCCAGAGCTTAAGCTTCCTCCATTCTATCAATGATATTTTCCTCAAAGTGCCTTTGATAGCTTAAATAGCCTTGAGAAGAAAGTTTATAAATTAAGTATAAGATTAATAAGTATATTTACTTCGTTCTTTTGGGGCTGATGCAATTTCACTGCAGATTTTTAAAGCAGTGTGCAGCATTTCATATCATTAGGAAGTGGAATGGGTATATAACATTAAATTCAATAATGTCCTGGTAAGTAGTGCTTATATTCGAATACTTAAAGCATGCATATTGTTAACTAGAGTTTCATATTTATTTTAAGGTAATATTTGTATACAATGAAATGCCCATATCTTAAGAAAAATAAATGTAGAGACCCTATATAAAAATGTAAGAAATTCACTTAGGACTCACTGACATGTCCAAACATGAAATCCTAGAGTTGAAAGAGATTATTAGAAGTCCACAAGGTCAAATATTGTAACTCACAACAAAAATCTTTCCCATGGGCATGGTGTTCCCTGGAATGGCATTTTATAAGAAACACTGAGGAATGATGAGGAATCTGTAGTTATCAAAGGGCTAGTATTCTCTCCTAGGTAAATATCTTTACAACTCTGTTGCTCAAGTGTTAGTATCTTCATTTTATAGAATAGAAAACCACAGCTGAGGAAGGCAAAGTAACTTGCATATAAAATTACAGATGGAAGGTAGTTGAGTTGGCACTGAAACCTAAGTTCTTCTAAATTTATGACCAAATCCCCATCACCTTTAAAATGTCATACTGAAACATTTTAAAATCACGTAAAAATCACATTTTCTGTAAGTGCCTTTTTTATCTCATTATTTTTGAAAAAAATTTTCAAACATTAAGAAAATTTGAATGAATTTATATTTACCCTCTACCTAGGCTTTTCTATTCTATATATTGCATTATCACATACTTACCCATCTATACAGCCCTATATCCACCCATCAGTCCTTTCTATTAATGCATTTCAAAGTAAGTTACAAACATCAGTATTTCCTCTCAACTAATTTCTCTCAAATATTTAAGAGCACATATTAACTAGACTTTTATATTTACGTTTATATATTTTAAGGTGAGATTTATATAAAACGAAATGTCCAAATCTTAAGTATACTATGAGATGAGTACGCACAAATACATGTAACTGTGTAACTCAAAACCCTATCAAGATACAGAACTTTGCTCAGAAGGATTCCTTCATTTGCTTTCCCATTCAATCCCCCTTCTCCACCAATTTTTTTTTTTTTTTTCTGGCTGGAGTAGTTTTGCCTTTTCTAGGATTTTACATAAATTGAATTGTGGTATTTACTGTTTTGGGTAAAGCTACTTTCACTCCACATACTGCTTTGAGATTCATCAATGTTGTATGTGTTAATACTTATTTTCTTTGTCTTGTTGAATAGTATTGCACTATAGAATTTACCACATTTTATCTGTTCTCCGATTAAGATCTGAGAAGTTTCTAGTTTTCAGGTATAATGAATAAACTGCTATGATCGTATCTGTTCAAGGCTGTTTTGATTTTTAAATAAGAAACTGTGTGTTTTTACCTTTTTATATTCCTACCAACCATGTATGAAAATTTCAGTTGCTCCACATCCTCACCATCAGTTAGTATTGTCTATATTTTTAATTTTAGCCGTTCTTGTGTTTTTTTTCGTGTAGAGGTTTGTTCTTGTAGAGGCTTCCAATAGTGGTTCTACTTGTATTTCCCTGATGACTAATGGTAGTGATCACTTTTTCATCCACTCATTGGCCATTTATATGTTTTCTTTTGTGAGCTATTTATATATTTTATGTTTTTATGTATTTACTTTCATTATTGTGCTATGAGAATTCTTTATATATCCTATATATTAGCCCTTTGTCATATTTTCATTTTGCAAATAAATTCTTCTAATCTGGAGTTTAACTATGTATTTATTTATTTACTTTGCTTCAACTTTTATTTTAATTTCCAGGGTACAGGCGCAGGATATGCAGGTTTGTTACCTAGGTAAACGTGTGCCATGGTGGTTTGCTGCACAGATCAACCCATCACCTAGATATTAAGCCCAGCCTCCATTAGATATTCTTCCTGATGTTCTCCCTTTCCCTGCAGCCCCCAACAGGCCCCAGTGTGTGTTGTTTCCTACCATGTGTCCATGTATTCTCATTGTTCAGCTCCCACTTATAAGTGAGAACATTTAGTGTTTGGTTTTCCATTCCTGTGCTAGTTTGCTGAGGATAATGGCCTCCGGCTCCACCCATGTCCCTGCAAAGGACATGATCTCATTCCTTTTTATGAATGCATAATATTGATGGTGTATACTTACCACATTTTCTTTATCTGGTCTGTCACTGATGGACATTTGGGTTGATTTCATGTCTTTGCTATTGTGAAGAGTGCTGCAATGAACATACATATACATGTATCTTTATAATAGAATGATTTATGTTCCTTTGGGTATATACCCAGTAATGGGATTGCTGGGTCAAATATATTTCTGCTTCTAGATCTTTGATGAATCGCCACTCCATCTTCCACGATGGTTGAACTAATTTATATTCCCACCAACAGTGCAAAAGTGTACCTTTTTCTATACATCCTTGCCAGCATTTGTTGTTTCTTGATTTTTTACTAATCACCATTCTGACTGGTATGAGATGGTATCTCATTGTGGTTTTGATTTACATTTCTCCGATGATCAGTGATGTTGAGCTGTTTTCCATATGATTATTGGCCGTGTGAATGTCTTCTCTTGAGAAGTGTCTGTTCATGTCCTTTGCCCACTTTTTAATGATTTTTTTTTCTTGTAAATTTATTTAAGTTCCTTGTAGACTCTGGATATTAGACCTTTTTTAGATGGATAGGTTGCAAAAGTTTTCTTCCATTTTGTAAATTGTCTGTTCACTTTGATGATAACTTCTTTTGAGATGCAGAAACTCTTTAGTTTAATTAGATTCCATTTGTCAATTTTAGCTTTTGTTGCCATTGCTTTTGGCGTTTTCGTTGTGAAGTCTTTGTCCATGCCTACGTCCTGAATGGTATTGCCTAGGTTTTCTTCTAGGGTTTTTATAATTTTGGGTTTTACATATAAGTCTTTAATCAATCTTGAGTTAATTTTTGTATCAGGTGTAAGGAAGGGGTCCAGTTTCAACTTTTTGCATATGGCTAGCCAGTTTTCCCAACACCATTTATTAAATAGGAAATCCTTTTCCCATTGCTTGTTTTTGTCAGGTTTGTCAAAGATCAGATGGTTGCAGCTGTGTGCTCTTATTTTTGGGTTCTCTATTCTGTTCCATTGGTCAATGTGTTTTTGTACTGATACCATGCTGCTTTGGTTACTGTAGCCTTGTAGTATAATGTGAAGTCAGGTAGTGTGATGCCTGCAGCTTTGTTCTTTTTGCTTTGGATTCTCTTGGCTATATGAGCTCTTTTTTGGTTCTATATGAATTTTAAAATACTTTTTTTCCAGTTCAGAAGAATGTCAATAGTAGTTTAATGGTAATAGCATTGAATCTATAAATTACTTTGGGCAGTATGGCCATTTTCACGATATTGATTCTTCCTATCCATGAGCATGGAATGCTTTTCCATTTGATTGTGTCTGTCTTCTTTGAATTTTTTCAGCAGTGGTTTCTAGTTCTTCTTGAAGAGGTCTTTCACTTTTTTGTTAGCTCTATTACTAGGTATTTTATTCTCTTTGTAGCAGTTGTGAATGGGAGTTTGTTCATGATTTGCCTCTCTGCTTATCTGTTGCTGGTGTATAGGAATACTAACAAATTTTGCACATTGATCTTGTATCCTAAAACTTTGCTGAAGTTGCTTATCAGCTTAAGTAGCTTTTGGGTGGAGGCATAGTAGCCTTGAATAATCTTTTACATTTCTGTGGTGTCAGTTGTAATATCTCCCGTTTCATTTGTAATTGAGCTTATTTGGATTTTCTCTTCTTTTCTTGGTTAATCTTGCTATTGGTCCATCAATTTTATTTATCTTTTCAAAGAACAAAAAGCTTTTTGTTTCATTTATCTTTTGTATTTTCTTTTTGGTTTCAATTTTATTTAGTTCTGCTCCAATCTTGGTTAGTTCCTTTCTTCTGCTAGGTTTGGGTTTGGTTTGTTCTTGTTTCTCTCGTTCCTTGAGTTATGACGTTAGATTGTCTATATGTGCTTCCTCAGACTTTTTGGTGTAGGTATTTACCGCTATGAACTTTCCTCTTAGCATCGCCTTTGCTGTATTCCAGAGGTTTAGATAGGTTGTTCACTATAGTCGTTCAGTTCAAAGAATTTTTCAATTTCCATCTTGATTTCATTGTTGACCAAATGGTCATTCAGGAGCAGGTTATTTAATTTCCATATATTTGCATGGTTTTGAAGATTCCTTTTGGAATTGATTTCCAGTTTTATTTCAATGTGGTCTGAGAGAGTACTTGATATAATTTCAATTTTCTTAAATTTATTGAGACTTGTCTTGTGGCCTATCATTGGTCTATCTTTGAGAACATTCCATGTGCTAATGAATACAATGTATATCCTGCAGTTGTTGGGTAGAATGTTTTGTAAACATCTGTTAAGTTCATTTGTTCTGGGATGTAGTTTATACCCATTGTTTCTTTGTTGAATTTCTGTCTTGATGATCTGCCTAGTGCTATCAGTGGAGTATTGAAGTTCCCCACTATTACTCTGTTGCTATCTCATTAGGTTTGAGTAATTGTTTTATAAATTGGGGAGCTCCAGTGTTAGGCGCATATATACTAAAAATTGGAATATTTTCCTGTTGGACAGGCCCTTTGTCATTATATAATGTCCCTCTTTGTCTTTTTTAACTGCTGTTGCTTTAAAATTTGTTTTGTCTGATATAAGAATAGCTGTTCCTCCTGGCCTTTGGTGTCCATTTACATGGAATATCTTTTTCTGCCCCTTTACCTGAAGTTTATGTGAGTCCTTATGTGTTAGGTGAGTCTCTTGAAGGCAGCAGATAGTTTTTTGGTGAATTCTTATCCATTCTGCAATTCTATATCTTTTAAGCGCAGCATTTAGGTCATTTACTTTCAATGTTAGTATTAAGATGTGAGGTACTACTCCATTCATGGTGATTATTTTTTGCCTGTATATCTTGTTTTTTTTTTTTGATTGTATTTTTGTTTTATAGGTCCTGTGAGATTTATGCTTTAAAGAGGTTCTGTTTTGATGTGTTTCTAGGATTTGTTTCAAGATTTAAAGCTCCTTTTAGCAGTTCTTGTAGTGGTGGCTTGGTAGTGGCAAATTCTCTCAACATTTGTTTGTCTGAAAAAAGACTGTATCTTTCCTTCATATATGATGCTTAGTTTCACAGGATACAACATTCTTGGCTGATAATGTTTTGTTTGAGGAGGCTGATGATAGGGCCCTAATCCCTTCTAGTTGTAGGATTTCTGTTGAGAAATCTGCTGTTAATTGGATAGATTTTCCTTTGTAGGTTACCTGGTGCTTTTGTCTCACAGCTCTTAAGATTCTTTTCTTTGTCTTAACTTTAGATAACCTGATGACAATGTGCCTAGGCAATGATCTTTTTGCAGTTAATTTCCCAGGTGTTCTTTGTGCTTCTTGTATTTGGATGTCTAGGTCTCTAGCAAGGTTGGGGAAGTTTTCCTTGATTATTCTCCCAAATATGTTTTCCAAACTTAGATTTCTCTTCTTCCTCAGGAACACCAATTATTCTTAGGTTTGGTCGTTTAGCATAATCCCAGACTTCTTGGAAGTTTTGTTCGTATTTTCTTATTCTTTTTTCTTTGTCTTTGTTGGATTGGGTTAATTCAAAGACCTAGTCTTCGAGCTCTGAATTTCTTTCTTCTACTTGTTCAATTCTATTGCTGAGACTTTCCAGAGTATTTTGCATTTCTGTAAGTGTGTCCAATGTTTCCTGAAGTTTTGATGTTTTTTTATTTA
Source organism: Homo sapiens (assembly GCF_000001405.40). Lineage (NCBI taxonomy): Eukaryota > Metazoa > Chordata > Mammalia > Primates > Hominidae > Homo > Homo sapiens. The sequence goes on from NC_000007.14 coordinate 118,272,842, forward strand.
TCCTATGTATTTCATTGAATATTTCTCCCTTCACTTCTTGTATCTTTTTTGAATTTCCTTGCATTGGCTTTGCCTTTCTCTGGTGCCTCCCTGATTAGCTTAATATCTAACTTCCTGAATTGTTTTTCAGACAAATCAGGGATTTCTTCTTCTTTTGGATCAATTGATGGTGAGCTAGTGTGATTTTTGGTGGGTGTTAAAGAGCCTTGTTTTGTCATATTACCAGAGTTGGTTTTCTGGTTCCTTCTCATTTGGGTAGGCTCTGTCAGAGGGAAAGTCTAGGGGTGAAGGCTGTTGTTCAGATTCTTTTGTCCCACGGGGTGTTCCCTTGATATAGTACTATCCCCTTTTTCCTAAAGGACGTGGCTTCCTGAGAGCTGAGCTGTAGTGATTGTTGTCTCTCTTCTGGGTCTAGCTATTCAGCAAGTCTACCAGGCTCCAGGCTGGTACTGGGGGTTGTCTGCACAGAGTCTTGTGATGTGAACCATCTATGGGTCTCTCAGCCGTGGATACCACACAGTATTTGGGGTGTGTCCTGGGTCCTGCAGGAGCAATCTGCTTCCTTCAGAGTGTTTGTAGGTCCTCTTGGGTTTGCTGATTTATTCCTGAAGTTGTTCTAGAGCTAAAATTCACTATGTGAGCCTCCAAACACTGCTCTGTCTGTCCAAGTTGTAGCTGCAACGTAGTCCTTCCCCTTAAAATTTTTTACAGCCTTTGATTTATAGTCTGTTTTATTTGATGTAGGTATAGCTGTTCTTGCCTTTTTTTTTTTTTTTTTTTTTTTTTTTTTGGTTTTCAGTTGCATGGAATGTCTTTTTTCATCCCTGAATTTTTAGTCTATGTGTGTTTACAGGTGAAGTGAGTTTTCTGAAAGCAGCATATGGTTGGGTTTATTTACTCATTCAGCCACTCTATGCCTTTTAATTGGAGAATTGAGACCATCTACATTTAGTGTTATTATTGATAAGAAAGAGCTTATTATTGTCATTTTTGTGGTTTGTTTTCTCATTGTTTTGAAGCTCCTCTCTTCTTTTTCTTTCTTTCTTACTGTCTTCCTTTGTGATTAAGTGATTATCTCTGGTAGTATGTTGCTTTTTATTTTTAGGGGATCTGCCATAGGTTTTTATACTTTGGTTACCATGAGGCTTACAAAATACATATCATAGATATAACAAGTTATTTTGCAGAGGGGATGACTTATCTTAGATCACAAATAAAAGAATAGAAATAAATATAAGAAAAACACACATAAAAATTCTACACTTTAACTCCATCCCCCAGCATTTTGACTTTTAGTTGTCTCAATTTAATATTTTATATTACCTATTTCTTAATGGGTTGCTGTGGCTATTATAGTTTTTGATAGATTTGTCTTTGGGACTTCGTATTAGAGTTATGCATGTATTGCAAACCACAAATTTAATAATAGGTTATTCTGGATTTGTCCATACACTTAATTTTACTAGTAGGTTTTATACCTTGAAAAGTTTTCTTTGGCACTTTTATGTTATTTTTTTTTTTCAGATCGAAGAACTCCCTTTAGTATTTTTTGCAAGGTGGGACTGGTGTTGAATTTTCTCAGCTTTTATTTGTCTGAGGAAGACTTTATCTTTCATTCAAATCTGAATGACAATTATGCTAGATACACTATTCTTGGGTTACAATTTTGTTCTTTGAGCACTTTGAAAATGTTGTATCACTCCCTCCTGGCCTGTATGATTTCTGTTGAGAAGTGTGTTGCCAGTTGAATTCGAACTCCTTTATATGTTATTTGCTTATCTCTCACTGCTTTTAGTATCTTCTCTTTGTCCTTGACCTCTGAGAGTTTGATTATTATATTCCTTGGGGTAGTTTTATTTGGGTTAAATCTGTTTTGTTTTCTTAGACTTTCCTGTACTTGGATGTTTATATCTTTCTCAACTTTTGGAAACCATGTTTTGGAAGACTCAGTTATTTATTTGAATAAGATTTCCATCTCTTGCTTTTGCTTGATCCCCTTTGAACACCGATAATTCAAGAGGGAACCTTGCTGGCTAGCTGCATACAATGCTCTATGATCCTCAATTCTCTCTCTCAACTCTTACCACTATGAAGTGTGGTAATAGAGATTCCTTGTCTATGTTTAATAAAATTTCTTTATGATTTCTAAGATTTTGATTCATCTCTATCCTGATTATACCCTTGCATTTTTCTAAATTTCACAAGGTCTTCTTTATGTAAACAAGTTTTGGTCAGGCATGGCAGCTCATACCTGTAATCCCAGCACTTTGGGAGGCTGAGGCAGGTGGATTCCTTGAGCTCAGGAATTCAAGATCAGCCTGGACAACATGGAGAAACCTCATCTCTACAAAAAATACATAAATTAGCTGGACATAGTGGCATATGCCTGTAATCCCAGCTGCTCAGGAGACAGAGGTGGGAGGATTGCTTGAGCCCAGGAGATTGAGACTGCAGTGAGCCATGATTGCACCACTGCACCCCAGCCTGGATGACAGAGTGAGACCTGTTCTCCCAGCCCCCACAAAAATACAAACATATTATTTTGTTGAATATTTCTGATTTTAGAAAGCCCTTTTTGGGGGAGTGAGTACTAGGAAATGTTATAATATTTACTGCTCTAATTCTACCTTATATTCCTGGTAGTCTGGTCTGGGAAAAAAAAGTCCCCTACTTCCTATTCTTAATACCTTCAAAAATATTGATTAAGAGCATGTTATTTGGAGTAGAGCACAGTTTATGCTATTCCTTGCAATTTAATTAATCAATTAAAGTTTACACATGTGGATACTTTTCTATTTATTTTTAGGTTAGAAATACCAATATGTTTCCTTCAAACTTCCTTATAGAAATAATGAACTTCATCATTAAGAGATTAGTTACTTCAGTATGGGAATATAATTTCATAACCAGAATAATTAAACATGTTTGTACCTAAAAAGGCATTAGTAATCTTTTCATCAGTGAGACAACCAGAGTTGTAACTTAACATGCATTTCTTTGGCACATAAGAGAAATTTAAACAGCATTGATCTCTTTAGTACTAGTTGTCTGTACCAGTAGAAATGAAAAAGAGCATAATAATTATTTCGCTTATAATCTTCTATTGCTTACAGCCTATTTTTCTTAATTTAAAATGTGTTAGTAACTCACAGAAATATATGGTGAAATATTTCCCGTTTAGAAAGTGTCTGAAACTATTTCTGCACATATTGACTGTCCATTAGAATGTAGCTTCTGCCTAATCTTTTCTCGCCTTGGAGGGCTAAGAGTGACGCCCCACATTTTGTCACGTTAAGTACTGTCCAGTTAAATCATGCTTCTTCCCAAATTACCAAGCTATGTGTTAGCATCCCTAAGACATGATAACCATTCTCCAGTATTGCACACAAGAAGTAAATATATGGTATTCCATCGTTAGACTATTGGGTTCATATTGCTAAGGGTAAATAATTATCACTTATCTTCTGTGCTACTTTTCAATTAACACCCTCTACCTTTTTCTAAATAAAAAGTTTGGCCATATGGAACTTTACTTCCTGATTCAAAAGAAGGACAGGTAGGAAGAGCCCTTATTTATTCTCTGAATTAGTTGATAATTTAGTGGAAAGAAATAACATAAATAAAAATCATTGAATTTGGGAATATGCACAAGGGAAATAACAATGAAGTCAGATGAAACAAGCTGAATAAGGGAAGTTAGTATAAGATACAAAGCTATAAATCTGTTGATGGAAGGCCAAAGACTTAAAAAATAATGATTTATGTGGATACCATCCTAAATTGGCCAAATAGTAATATTGTTTCTAATGTGAATTTTATATAATCATGATAATTATGAGCATTTGTTTTTCAATTGGAATGACTTTTGGTAATTAAGCATAATTGCAATTGCAAGGACATTTTATTTAATTAAAAATGCACAAATTGTTTAATTCAGGGGACTCCAACCCCCAGGCCTGGTCTTTTACTGGTCTGTGGCCTGTTAGGAACCTGGCCACACAGCAGGAAGTGAGTGACAGGCAAGCCAACATTAAGGCCTGAGCTCTGCCTCCTGTCAGATTAGCAGTGGCATTAGATTCTCATAGGAGCACGAACCCTATTGTGAACTGCACATGCATGTGAGTGATCTAGGTTGCGAGCTCCTTATAAGAATCTAATGATATGAGGTGAAACAGTTTCATCCATTTCCCCCGCAACCCCCACCTCCTCTGTGGAAAAATTGCCTTCCCCAGAACCTGGTGCCAAAAAGGTTGGGTACTGCTGGTTTAGCTGGTAAAGAGAGCATTGCATCCTCTCTTGGAATTTACTACCATGCAGACACAATGAAGATTGCCTAATGCCTGTAAGTAATATCACAGTTAATTTCATTTTAACTTTTATTATTTTACTCTTTTAAAAAAAAATATATACAGTAGTATTCGCTGCTTTTGGCACAGAGTTCTTCAAGTTTTAATGTATGCATAGATTTTTGTTACCCTTATCTCACCTGGATACAGAACAATTGCAACATGCCAAAGAACTCCCTCATGTGGACGCTTTTAAGCAGACCCTTTCCCCTACTCTTAACTACTGGCAACAACTGATTTATTCTCTGTTCCAGTCTTTTTGTTTGTTTGTTTGTTTGTGTTCTTCTGGAATATCGTATTATGGAATCATATGGTATGTAACCTTTTGGGACTTACTTCTTTTATGCAGGAAAATGCCTTTGAGGTTCAGGCTGTGTTCTAGAATTCATTCATTTTTATTATTGAGTAGAATGCCTTTACATAGATGTACCCATTTACTCATTAACCAACTAAAGCATATTTGGGGTATTTCCAGTTAGGGGCAATTATAAATAGTGCTGATTTAAACATTCATCTACATGTAGAAATTAAAAACATGTTCTGAATTTCTAAACAGAAATTAACTGTTCTGGAAAGAACAGTTAAAAGAATGCAAAGATAAGTTGCAGACTAGGAAAAATACTTGCAAATCATCATGTATCCAGAATATAGAAAGTTGATTCTTGAATTATAGTAGAAAGTGTTTGCCTGAAACAAAAAAGAGAATGTTAGGGAAACCGAATGGTAATTTTCTGAAGCCAGACAGGATTACATTTTGTTTTGAAATGAAACAATAATTAGAACACTATAACATGGCTAGAACAATAATGTAAAATAATATGAAAGCTGAAAAGATGCCTAAATATGGGCCAGCTAGATTGTATTCATGAAAAAATAGGAGTAAGATATTTGATGTAAAATTTTAGCAGGGGAAGAAAGAGGTCATTGCCTTTATAGGGCTACTGCACACATTTGAAATATAAGAGCATCTGAGCATGAGCCCTGGCATTTGGAGAGCTTTAGATGTGGAAAACCAGGTCACAGAAGTGATCAACCAAAATGCCATTATTCATAAAATATATGGAAAAGAGGGAGACGTTATTTCCTGGTTGTCTAAAGGCTGAACGTATTAATATGACCAGAGAAGGGAATGGGAATTGGAAAAAGAATTAAATCATAAATCACTTTGAACTCATATGGGTAGTTGATGTTAAAGGATCTGGGAAACAAGCATAAAATAATCTGTAGAGAGGGCAGTGAATGAGAAGGCATTTATGAAGGTGGTGGGAAAAAAGGACAACCAGGTGGTAAAAAAGAAATATGCACAAGTGGCAGATTGTGGCTATGAGTGTTTCGAGAGATGGCAATACCATTTCTGAGTGCTGTCCCAAGGACAAAGATATATACCATACTTAAAGGATAGCAGCAGCTGCACACATAGAAATAAAGAAACTTACATAGCTTTCAGAAGGAACTGTCTTTGAGAAATTTAATGCTGGTTATCACATTTATTTTCCAGATGTTTTCTGAAATTAAACTGTGTTCAGCCCCTGCACTTTTTACTCCGATATTCTTTGGGAAACCATAATGTGAAGCAGACATTTCTAAAGAGAAGAGCATTTCTCCTTGTGGAATTGTGTTATAATTAGTGATATCAAATAACTTATGAAAAACAATATGTTATAAAATAAAAAATAATGAGAGGTGATAGACAATGAAATGTGATAAACAACTATTATATTCTATTATGTGACTTAGTGCTTTGTAAACTCCAGAGATCATTTCAACAGTAAAATATGTCCTATATGCTAGGGCTCGAAGGAAACAATTATCTGCAATATTCTGTTGCAGATAATCAACTGAACTTACAGGTCACTTAACTTAAAAAAATATGAGTAACAAGCTAATTTTTATCTTCTTACCTGTATGTCCATATCCCTATAATTTTATGTATATATATATATATGTACTTAAAACAGCAAATAAAAAAGAAAAAGACCTTGAGTTAAAAGCTGTTAGGGTAAAAAGGAGGCTGGTGGAATAAAACATTTGTAGTTTGGAAAACATCAGGTAGACTTGTGTTTGAATCTACACTTTATCACTTGGGCAAGTAACATTACCTGACAGAGACTATTTTTCATCTGAAAAATCGGGGTAAAATATCTATTTCCTAACTTGTTTGGGGAAGTTCAATAAAATATAGTGTACAGATTCTAGCAGAATGCCTTACACATAGAAGTTTCTTGAAAAATTACAGATGATATTCTCCCTCTTTGATTGGTGTAGTATCACTCTTGCTAAACAATTGAAGCCCCACTTCTTGATCTTATAAACAAAATATTCTAACATTATAGTTTAAGTCATTGAACCATCTTATAATTTATATGATATCATAGTTTTAAACTTAAATTGGAGTCTTTGGAAGATGTGTTTCCTCAAACTATTAATCCTCCACAAATTATGTGACACTCTCTTGCAGGAGAAGTGCCCACTAAAGACCTCCCACACCCATCCCACTGAAAAGAGACACAAAAGATTTGGAACCAGCAAAGGGCATTAGTGTCCAGCAAACATGTCATGGTCACGCATACCTCTGAGGCTTTAGTATTTGTGTTGAGTTCACTGAGAAAGTCTCCCCTTTCTTCTTTTATTGAGTGCCTCATAAAAATTTAGAGGTACTTAATCACAGGATCCTGCAAGTGCAGGGTCACATTTCTTTTTTGTTCTTCAGATTCAATAGTCTTTATCAATCTGTCTTCAGGGTTCACTAATTCTTGCCTCTGTCATCAATATTCTGCTCTTAATCCCATCCAATGAATTGCTTATTTCATATGTGTGTTATCAATTCTAAAAGATCCATTTGGTTCTTTTTTACATTTTCTATGTTTCTCCTGAAATTTTCTACCTTTTCAAAAATTATGATTTTAGTTTCCTTTGGGATACTAAGCCTACTTGTAATAACTGCTTTAAAATCCTTGTCTGCTAATTACAACATGGTTTATCACTGAATGCTATCTGTTGATTAGGGCTGGAACTTGCATGAGGCAAACAAGACACCTGGAACACAAATTTTAAGGATATCCTTACTCTCAGGTGCTGACCCACACTTGCAGGACCCTGTAAGTAAGTGCCTCTAAATTTTATGTTCTAGCTTGCCCAAGCCTAGTCCAGGCACCTGCTGTAAAGAGTCTCATTTTCTTGTTTCTCCATATATTGAGAAATTTTGGCATATATTCAAGGTATTTTGAATGTGGTATCACAGATGCTCTAGTTCTATTATGTTCTTCTAAAGTCTGTTGATTTTTTTCAAAGCAAGCAATTAACTTGGATGTACTCAAACTGTAAACTTTGTATTTTTGGCATCAGTTCAAAGTTCAAATCTCAGATTAGTTCTCTTTATCTAGCCTACTCTGAATTTGTCCTACTCATGTATGGTTAAGATTCAGCAAGAGATTTCAGTAGTCAAACAGTTTACTCAGACTTTCAGCTCACTCTCTTGCTTTCTCTTTTCTTGGGTTATCGCTCACTTTATACCAGCTTTTTTGTTTTGTCTTTTTCTCCAAACTCTGCCTTCTGGTTCTTTGAGTCAGAAAGAATATGCATTTATCGCCAGCTGCCAATGGTTGTTTGTCTTTAGTCTGGCAGTTACAGCAATAGAAAATTCACCCTGTGAACTTCCTTCTATGTGCTGACTCTCTGTGAATGTTCTCTGTGCAGTGCCTTCAAGTATTCCCCTCTCTGATGTTTATAGCTATCTGCAGGAAAGCTGATCAAATAGAAGCTTATTAAGAAATATAAATGCTACACCAGCAGTTCCTGAAAGGGATATTTTCTCTAAATTGATGAAGGAAACAAGTAGGAGATTTGGCAAAATTAGTGTCTTCCCTTTATCTCATTGCTTTAGAGTTAATAAAACTTCATTACTTGAGATATGCTACAACTTGGCAAGAAGAGAAAAGGTAGGTAGGAAAAGGGCGTAGTTAAGGTTGGAGAAGGTTTTTAATCTTATATTATAGCTCCCTACAGAATAGTCAGAAATCTAAATCGTTGCATCCAAGCATGAGTTGCAATCTGTGTTCAGGATTGGCTGATGGTCTCATAGTGGGACTGATTTAAGGCTGTATGGTGGTTAAGAAGCATCTTAGGAAAAGGTGGTGGCTATAGTTAGCTATATGATGATGTTTCAAACCTGGAATTTATGTGAGTTATGATAAGATTATAGCGAGCAGAGGTTGGAATCTAAGCCTGTGGAGCTGACAGGAAGTAAGTAAGTATTAGTCAAATGGACTGGGGTTCAGACAGTCTCACCAGAGTTTGTTGTTTGCTTTGTTTTACAGGGGAAATTGGAGTATAGTCAAATTTGTTAAGACAAAATTATCTTAAGAAAAACGGTGAAAAAATCACACTGGTATGAAGGAGAAAACTAAGGCTGCTGAGATACATACCATGTGTTGGATAATTTTTATATAGTAGCTTATTTTAACTTTTTGAATAAAATTGTTTTGGGGTTGTCCTTAAGCACACCAGGCTTGGAGCAAGAAAATAAGTTTTAAACTTCATTAAGAGAATGAGTCTTTCTTAGATTTTGTGGCACCTTGTGAAGGAGCATCAGTTTAAGGCCCTGGGTAGACCTACATTTATTGGTTGTTGGTCTTAAATCCCCACAGCTGGATGGAGCTTGAATGGCAGATTGCACATTTCCTAAGCTCAATGTTCCCTAGTTGTGTCACAGATTCTTTATGTGTGCATTAGTCAGTCACCTGGGTCTGCCTCTTCATTGCCCTGTGAAGCTGGTGGGGGCACAGCAAGCAGCATGAGCAAACATAAAGCTCATGCTGCTTGCTGTGCCATAAGTAATAAACTATTTACATCCACTTGGATTCAGGGCTGTTTTGGGGCTTGCTGCGGGACTGATGTTGGCAAGCCTGCCATGGGAACGGAGATAGGCAAGTCTCCTAGCATGATCCTGGCTGGGAAGAACTATTCTTCAATCATAGATGAGAGGGGCTGGGGCTGAGATTCAGGGCTGTTTTGAGATCTGCTGTGGGTCTAAGTTTGTATACTTGGTGTATACAATTTTTATGTATTGATTGAAAAAAAATCGTTTTGGAGTGGTGATCTCCTTACTGGCCAAATTTATGGAAGTATTCCAAGCCAGCCTAGCAGAAGTCCTTGTGCTGCTGCTTAGGAATTGCTTGACTGCTTGACAGGCCAAAGGAAAACTGCAAAATATCACTGTTATGCCCTGTTCTGTCTCCCCTAAGTCTACTGTTGTATTAAGAGTTCTTTGACAAATCATGGGAAATTGCATAGTATAAATGTTCCAAGAAGTATTCAAATATAAGGAAATTGTTAATTGTCACTTATTATCCATATTTAGACAACTAGGTTGATTCATTAGCCTTAAATTTGGCATACTTATAAACGAATGTTTTTCTGTTCTTGGCCATCTCCTACCCCATTGCCAAACAAAATTGGTTTTTGTTATTTAAAGCATATTCTTAAAGTAGATATAGACTTCCCAGATCTGAGCTTCACATATTTAGAGAGGAAAATGTATTGTCATACATTTGACAACTTTTCTAATTTCATATGATTTGTTATGATGTGCTACATTTTATTAGATGAGGTAGCACATAAGAAATGAAACTGCCATATTGACATATCCCCAAAGAAGACTATTTAGGAAATTGAAAAAAAATTCTCATGCTTCTAGAAATCATGCTCTCTGGTTGAAATAACTCAATTTCTGATGAAGGATTTTAAATGAGTTGGATTTGTCTTTGAAAGGTTAGAAAAGATATGGAACACACTTATTGATTTTCCTAACAGAGCTTTAATAGGGACAGAAATAGTTTCAAATCAATTCCCTTGCTAAAGATTTTAATACAGATAAAATATAGTATAAAAATTACTATGTCGACAGAAATAGCAAAATTAATATTCAAATTCAAACAACAGTTCACGTAAAGTAAATCATACCAAGTAACTCAGTTTCTTTGAATATATGAGAACTATGATGGCATGCTTTATTGTGAGTATTTTGCCAGTGTTCAATGGAGAAAGCTATATAGATTTGACATGGTTTGGCTGTGTTGCCACCCAAATCTCATCTTGAATTGTAGCTCCCATAATTCCCACATGTCGTGGGAGGTACCTGGTGGGAGCTAATTGAAAGATGGGGGCAGACCTTTCGCATGCTATTCTTGTGATAGTGAATACGTCTCGTGAGAGTTGATGGTTTTGTAAGGGGGTTTTCCCCTGGACATGCTCTCTTGCCTGCTGCCGTGTAAGACGTGATTTTGCTCCTCATTCACCTTCCACCATGATTGTGAGGCCTCCCCAGCCATATAGAACTGTGAGTCAATTAAACCTTTTTCCTTTATAAATTACCCAGTCTTGGGTATGTCTTTATTAGCAGTGTGAGAACAGACTAAAACAGTATTAAAATTTAAAATAAAAATAGCACATGAGGTAAATATAGACAACTAATAACTGAATATAATTATATGTGCATTGGATAAGAAGGAAGACTAAATGGAGATTCATTATAAAATAACATACATTAGGAAAAATAGAAATAAGGAAAATCATTATTCATGGTGAATAGCTGCCAAAATAACATGAACATAGAGAGTATCTGTCAAAGTCAAGTGTTACCAGCTTGTAGAGCCTTCTCTATATTATTTGATAGGTAAGTGATATAACTCTACCAATTGGAGTAAATATAAGTTGTACTAAATTTCTTTAGGGAAGAGAGTGAGCAATTATCTTCACATTTGAAGAAAAACTTCAGTTCAAGTGAATTAATGGTAATTTTGTTTATTGCTGCATGTTTAATATACTGGGGACCTCACGAGACAGCGAGGTGGCTGAAAAGACTAGGATAATAATACAACAAAATCTGTATTGGATACATACCTCACAGATACTTCTATTCCACATTACCTTAGTGTTTTAGTCTCTTGATCCTTCTTGTCAATATAAAAAAGTGTTTCTTTTTGAAAACTTTAGCTGCTCTCTTTTTAATTTGAACCCAAGTAAGCATTCAACTCACTGTATGCCTATTTAGAGATCTCAAAATCTTCAGTAGCTTTATTACTTATTCCTTGGGAACAAGATAGTTTATATTGTTAATGAGAACATTTTCCCTTCTGCAGCCAATATATTTATTTTATAAATACAGGCATGCCCTAAAATATTTCTGAGTAAATATTCCATTATTTAAATTTTACTCATGAGGTCTTTAATGCCCTTCTTAGCCCCATTAAGCAGGCCACTCTTAAGGGCCATGATTTCTCTGAGGATTGACACAACCAGACTTAAGAATTGCCCAATCTAGGATTTTCCATGGAAAATAGACTTTCTTTCTTAACAATGTTATAGAGATTCTAAAGTAAATATTTTTATATATTTAATAAAAACAAGCTCATGGCTACATTCCTTATAAGTAGTGACCAACATGTTGTAACAGAAGCTTTCTTAATTTAGTGAATAAATTAGAGTCATCCAAATCTTTCTCCACCAATTTTCCTAGGGGCATAATTGCAGGAACCCTTGCTTCTCTTTAAAAAAGATAAAAATACCATTTGACCCAGCCATCCCATTACTGGGTGTATACCCAAAGGATTATAACTCATGCTGCTATAAAGACACATGCACACGTATGTTTATTGTGGCACTACTAACAATAGCAAAGTCTTGGAACCAACCCAAATGTCCAACAATGATAGACTGGATTAAGAAAATGTGGCATATATACACCATGGAATACTATGCAGCCATAAAAAATGATGAGTTCATGTCCTTTGTAGGGACATGGATGAAGCTGGAAACCATCATTCTCAGCAAACTAACACAGGAACAGAAAACCAAACACCTCATGCTCTCACTCATAGGTGGGAATTGAACAATGAGAACACTTGTACACAGGAAGGGGAACATCACACACCGGGGCCTGTTGTGGGGTTGGGGGAGGGGGGAGGGATAGCATTAGGAGATACACCTAATGTAAATGACGAGTTAATGGGTGCAGCACACCATCATGGCACATGTATACATATGTAACAAGCCTGCACGTTGTGCACATGTACCCTAAAACTTAAAGTATAATTTTAAAAAAAAAGATAAAGCAGACATCTCTTATATCAAGAACATTTTATATCTATATTTAAAATATATAGGCTAGACACAGTGGTGCACACCTGTAATCTCTGCAGTTTGGGAATCCATAGCAGGAGGATTACTTCAAACCAAGAGTTCAAGACTATCCTGGGAAACATGTAGAGACCCTGTGTCTACAAAAATAAAAATAAAAATTAGCTGGTGTGGTGGCATATGCCTGTAGTCCCAGCTACTCAGGAGATGGAGGTGGGAGGATTGCTTGAGCTCAGAAGTTTGTGGTTACAGTGAGCTATTATCATGACACTGCATTCCAGCCTGGGTGACTGAGTGAGACCCTGTCTCTAAATATAAATAAATATGTAAATAAAATATACAGCCAATTCATCACCAAAAATTTGATTCATACCATCATATATCCATCAGGAAGTAATTCTGATGAGATTTAAAAGTAAAAATAAAATGAGGCAGAGGGAAGGAAGCAAGAACTTTAAAAGTATTTTTTCAACTAAATTTCATGGTATTACAATAGGAAGAGAGAGTTGGAGGTAGACATTCAGTCTTCACACCATTCTGGGACCCTTCGCAGGAGGTACTCTGTGCCCCACTGGAAACACTGAGGATACTGGCAGGCTAGACAAGCTGTTATTGGTTAGAAACAAGAAACACGGGTGGGGCTGTCAGTTGCCAGTGAAAGGATCTTGGTGTCGGCTCTGCACTTCAGCCAACAGAGGTTCCCCACCAGAGAAGCCAGCCAACAGCATTGCTCTGCAGGAAGCACAATCAACAGGTCTTCCAGGCTTGAGTTCCCCATCAGCTTTTCCACCCAGCCTCAGTGCCCTCCTTGAGCCTTACCCAGACCAGGAAGCAGGAGCATGCCAGTGATTATCCACGGAAGCAGCATCTGGCTCTCCGCAGGCTTAGCAGCCAAGCAGTGAGCTAGTCACATCCCAGTGGTCTCCTTAAACCTTCCCCAGGTCAGAAGTCAAGGGCAGGTTGATGATTATCTGCAGAGGGAGCATCTGGCCCCATCTAGGCCTTGCAGCTGAGCAGTGACTCAGTCAAGCTCCAGTTCTCTCTTTCAGCCCTCCCCAGGCTTGGAGGCAAGAGTAGGTCAGCAAATATCTGTGGAAGGGAACATTTGATTTTGCCCAATTCAAGTGGCCAAGCAGTGACCCCACTCAGCCTCAGTACTCTGCTTGTCCTCACTAGGCTGGGAGGCAAGCCCATTTTAATAAATAACTGTGGAGCATAGCCTCTGTCCCTGTTCACCCTGAGTGGTTGAGCCACGACTCCAGAGACCTCACCCAGCCTCTGAGCCCATCAAATGGCTATGCCTGACTATCTAGCCAGGGAAGACATTCTGCACACTACATGATCAGAGGTAATTGCAGAACCTATCCAGCCCCTCTGCCTGACTCCAGAGTCTAGTTAGTGGTCTCACTGGACTTCACGGCACAGCCAACAGTTCCACTTGATCCCAGAGCACAGGTAGCAGCCCAGCACAACCAGAGAGCCTGATAGCAAGGTCTGCCTAGCCAAGGTTACTACCAGCTGGCACACCCAGAGTCCAAGGCTAGACTAGATAGTGAGGGTTTATCACTGCCATGAAACTACCTGCAAAGGCCAGAATGTGTGGGTGTTTCCTCAAATGCACAGGCAACAACGCAAAGACAAAAAGATTATTTAGAAATGAGGAAAATATGACATAACCCAAAGCAACTAATTAAGTTCTAATAATGGACCCTGAAGAAAAGACCTATTTAAGGACTGATGAGAATTTAGAATAATCCTCTAAACGAGATTTAGGAGAGAAAAGGAAAATATGAATAGAAAATTAAATAGAATTTGGAAAACAGTTCCTAAACAATATGAGAAATTTGACAAGTAGATAGAAATAATTAAAAAAATAGAAATCCTAGAGACAAAGTATACAATACCTGACTAAAAATCTCAACAGAGATCTTCAACAGCAGATTTGAATAAGCAGAAGAAATAATCAGTGAACTCATGGATAGAACATTTGGAATTATCCATTCAGAGAAGAAGAAGAAAAAAGAATGAGAGAGTAAAGAAAGCCTATAGGAATTATGGGATACCATCAAGAGAACTAGTTCCATAAAATAATAGTTCTGAAAGAGAAGAGAGAGAGGGAAAAACACCTAGAAAGCATAATTAAAGAAATAATGGTTGAAAATTTCCTAAATTTTGGGAAAGATGACAATATCCAGAAATAGGAAGTGCAGAGATTTCCAGCTGAATGCACTCAAAAGAGGAGTGCACATCATAATCAGATTAACAAAAATCAAAGGAAAAGAAAAAAATACAGAAAGCAGCAAGAGATAAGAAACATTACATTCAAGGGGATCCCATTATGGCTACCAGCAGATTTCTCAGTAGGACCTACAAAGCAAGAGAGAGTGAGATAATATATTCAAAATGTAGAAGGAAGTATACCTGCCAAGCAAAAATACTTTCCCCAACCAAGATGTTCTTTAGAAATGAGGGAGAAATAATCATTTTCTTAGACAAACAAAAACCATGAGAGTTCATCCTCACTAGGCTTGCTGTACAGGTATTGCTAAACAGAGTTCTGTAAGCAGAAACAAGAGGCTCCTAATTAATAACATAAAACATATGAAAGTAAACACATCAATAGTATAATAATAAGTAGTCATATTTAGAATACTCTAGTACCATAAGGGTAGTGTGTACAGCATTTTTATCTAAACTATGAGGGTTAAAGGACAAAACAATTATATCTATAATTAATTGCTCAGGGATACAAATTACACAAAAAGGTAAAAACGTAGGGGGATGGAATGAAAGTGTAGTGTTTTTGTTTGTGAGTTAAGTTGTTATTAGCTTAAAATAGCCTGTTTTTAAGCATAAAATGTTTATGTAAGCCTCATGGTAATCACAAAGCAAAAACTTATAGTAGTTGCACAAAATATAAAAAAACCCCACAGGATTCAAATCATACCACAACAGGAAGCCATTAAACCACAAAGGAAGACCACAAAGGAAGACAGAAGAGAGGAAGAAAGAAACCAAGACTCTAAAAAACAACCAGAACACCAATTACTAAATGACAGTTGCAAGTCCTTACTTATTAATACTTTCATTAAATGTTCATGGATAAATTCTCCAATCAAAAAACATAGAGTGGCTTAATAGATAAAAATACACTATCCAACCATGTGCTGCCTAATAGAGACTCATCTTATCAGTAAGGACACATATAGACTGGAAGTGAAGGGACAGAAAAAGGAATTCCACACCAATGGAAACTAAAAGAGAGTAGGGGTAGCCATATCTATGTCAGACAAAATTGACTTAAAGTTAAATAATATTAAAAAAGACAAAGTAGGTTATTATATAATGAAAAATTGATCGATTTATTAAGGGGATATAGTAATTGTGTATGTATTTACCATTAGAACACCTAAATTCATATAGCAGTTATTAAGTAATTTAAAGGGTGAGTAAAGTGCAATACAATAACAGTAAAGGACCTCACTACCCCATTTTCAACAATGGACAATTCATTTAGACAGAAAATCCGTAAGAAAACATTGAACTTGAATTAAACTTTAAATCAAATGGACATAACAGACATATACAAAACATTCCATTCATCAGCCACAACTGGTATATTGCTCTCAAGTGTACATAGGACATTCTCCAAGATAGAGCATATGTTAGGCCACAAAAAGTCTTTAAAAATTTAAGAAGATTGGAATCATATCATGTATCTTTTCTTATCACAGTGGCCTGAAATTAGAAATCAATAATCAGAGAAATCTTTGAACATTTTGAAACATATGAAAATAAAACAACATGTTCTTGAACAACCAATGGATGAGAGAAGAAATAAAAAGGGAAATTAAAAAAATGCCTTGAGATAAATGAAAATGAAAATCCAACATAACAAAACCTAAGAGATGGAGCAAAAGCAGTCCAAAGAGTAAATTTTCAACTTTATGCTTATATCAAAAAAGCTTATCTCAAAAAATGCCTACCTCAAAAAGAAGAGATATTTCTAATATAGAATCTAATATTATACCTCAAGGAACTAAAAAAAGAACAAAATAAGCCCACAGTTATTAGAGGAAAGGAAATAACAAAGATTACACCATAAATAAATAAAATTGATATGATTTGCCTGTGTCCCCAACTGAATCTCATCTTGAATTGCAATCCCCATAATCCCCACATGTTGTGGGAGGGACCCATTGAGAGGTAATTGAATCATGGGGGCAGTTTCCCCCCATGCTGTTCTTGTGATAGTGAGTGAGTTCTCACAAGACCTGGTGGTTTTATAAGTGTCTGGCATTTCCCCTGCTTGTACTCATTCTCTCTCCTGTTGCCCTGTGATGCCTTCTGCCATGATTATAAGTTTCTTGAGGCCTCACCAGCCATGTGAAACTGTGAGTCAATTAAACCTCTTTTGCTTATGAATTACCCTGTCTTGGGTATTTTTTCATAGCAATGTGAGTACAGACTAATACAGTAAATTGGTAGTGAGGGAGTGGGGAACTGCTATGAAGATACCTGAAAATGTCTGGGCATGGTGGCTCATGCCTGTAATCCCAGCACTTCGGGAGGCCGAGGTGGGCAGATCATGAGGTCAGGAATTCAAGACCAGCCTGGCTAACATGGTGAAACTCCATCTCTACCAAAAATACAAAAAAATTAGCTGAGCGCAGTGGCATGTGCCTGTAATCCCAGCTACTCAGGAGGCTGAGGCAGGAGAATCATTGAATCCGGGAGGCAGTGGTTGAAATGAGCCAAGATCCAGCCACTTTACTCCAGCCTGGGTGAAAAAGCAAGACTCTGTCTTGAGAAAAAAAAGATTCCCAAAAATGTGGCGGCAACTTTGGAACTGGGTAACAGGCAGAGGTTGGAACTTCTTAGGTACTTAGAGGGCTCAGAAGACAGGAAGATGTGGGAAAGTTTGGAACTTCCTGGAGACTTGTCGAATGGCTTTGACTAAAATGCTAATAGTGATATGGATAATGAAGTCCAGGTTGAAGTGGTTTCAGATGGAGATGAGGAACTTGTTGGGAACTGGAGTAAAGGTCACTCTTGCTATGCTTTGACAAAGAGACTGGTGGCATTTTTGCCCCTGCACTAGAGATCCGTGGAACACTGAACTTGAGAGAGATGATTTGGAGTACCTGGCAGGAGAAATTTCTAAGCAGCAAAGCATTCAAGAGAAATTAGAGCATAAAAGAGTGGAAAATTCGCAGACTGATGATGAGATAGAAAAGGAAAACCCATTTTCTGGGGAAAAATTCAAGCCTGCTGCAGAAATCTGCATAAGTAATGAGGATCCAAATGTTAATTACCAAGAAAATAGGGAACAAGTCTCCAGGGCATGTCAGAGACTTGACAGCGTCCCCTCCTGTCACAGGCCTGGAGGCCTAGGAGGGGAAAAGTGGTTTTGTGGACCAGGCCTAGGACCCCCCTGCTCTATGCAGCCTCGGGACATGGTGACCTGCTTCCCAGCTGCTTCAGCTCTAACAGTAGCTAAAAGGGCCCAAGGTACAGCTCAAGCTGTTGCTTCAGAGGGTGCAAGCCCTAAGCCTTGGCAACTTCCACGTGTTGTTGTTCCTGTGGTTGCTCAGAAGACAAGAATTGAGGTTTGGGAACCTCTGCCTAGATTTCAGAGGATGTATGGAAATACCTGGATATCCAGGCAGAAGTCTGCTGCAGGGGTGGAGCTCTCAGAGAGAACCTCTGCTAGTGCAGTTAGGATGGGAAATGTGGGGTTGGAGCCCTCAAACAGAGTTCCCCACTGGGGGACTGCCTAGTGGAGCTGTGAGAAGAGGGCTGCTTGTCCTCCAGACCCCAGAATAGTAGATCCACCAACAGCTTGTACCATACATCTGGAAAAGCTGCAGACATTCAACACCAGCTCATGAAAGCAGCTGGGAGGGGGCCTCTTCCCTGAAAATCCACAGGGGTGGAGCTGCCCAAGACCATGGGAACCTACCTCTTGCATCAGCATGACCTGGATATGAGACATGGTGTCAAAGGAGATCATTTCAGAGCTTTAAGATTTGACTGGCCTGCTGGATTTCAGAGCTTTAAGATTTGACTGCCTTGCTGCCTGTAGCCCCTTTGTTTTGGCCAATTTCTCCCATTTGGTATGGGTGTATTTACCGAATGCCTGTACCCCCATTGTATCTAGGAAGTAAGTAACTTGCTTTTGATTTTACAGGATCATAGGCAGTAGGGACTTGCCTTATCTCAGATGAGACTTTGGACTTGGACTTCTGGGTTGATGCTGGAATGAGTTAAGACTTTAGAGGACTGTTGGGAAGACATGATTGTGTTCTGAAATGTGAGAACATGAGATTTGGGAGGGGCTGGGACAAAATGTCATTGTTTGGCTGTGTCCCCACCCAAATCTCATCTTGAATTGTAATCTCCATAATCCCCGCGTGGGAGGGACTCAGTGGGAGGTAACTGAATCATGGGGGTTGTTCCTCCATGCTATTCTCATGATAGTGAGTGAGTTCTCATGAGTTGTGATTTTATAAGCGTCTCACATTTCCCCTGCTTGCACTCATTCCCTCTCCTGCTGCCCTATGAAGAGGTGCCTTGTGCCATCATTGTAAATTTCCTGAGGCCTCTCCAGCCATGTGGAACTGTGAGTCAATTAAACTTCTTTTCTTTATAAATTACCCAATCTTGGGTATTTCTTTATAACAGCATGAGAATGTACTAATACATAAATAAAAACTACAGAAAGAATAAGAGAATCAACAACACTAATATTTGATTTTTTAGAAGATAAAATTGTCAAACCTTTAGCTAGACTAAGAAAACAATGATTCACAAATGAAATGAAAAAGAAGTGAGAAAAAGAGACATGAAAATGTTAAAACAGAAATACAAGTGGTCATAAAATAATATTTTGAACAACTAAATGCCCCCAAATTTCATAACCGAGAGGAAATGGCTAAATTTCTAGACACATACAACCTGCCAAGACTGAATAATGAAGGCATGGAAAATCTGAGCAGATCAATAAGAAGTGAGGAGATTAAATCAGTAATCAAAAATTTCCCAACAAAGAAAATCCCTGGACCTAAAGGCCTCACTGCTAAATTCTACCAACATTAAAAAAACTAATACCAATCCTTCCCAAACTCTTTCAAAAAACTAAAGTTGAAGGAATACTTCAAAACTCATTTTGCAAGGCCAGCATTGGTCTGATACCAAAACCAGACCATGACACTACAAGAAAAGAAAATTATAGTCCAATATACCTGATGAACCTAGATGCAAAAATATTCAACAAAATGAATAGTTGAGTGGTTGCTGGTCAAGAGGTACAATGTTTTTTTTTTTAGGCACGGGCATTAAGCTTTGAGATCTATTGGAGAGCAAGGTGACTATAGTGAATAATCATATATTGTGTATTTCAAAATGGCTGAGTAAATTTCAAATATCTCCCCACAAAATATGATAAGTGAGGTGAAGGATATATTAATTAGCTTGATTTAGTCATGTCGCATTGCATACATATATCAAAACATAACATTGTACACCTTAAACATACACAATTATGATCTGCCAAATAAATAATACTAATAAAAACAATATACTCAATAGAGATTTTATCACTATCTGTTACTATATTGGCTTTTACTTCCCTGGATAATAATTTTTCTTGGATGAACACATACAGTATGTTTGGAATTCTGAGGATTTACAAAGTCAATAGCCTTATTCACAAAAATTATATCTCTAGGTAGAAAATTCACACATTATGAATGCCTCCTTGTTTTAATGTAATTTGTCTAATTTTATCATCACAATAGCTCTAAAATGGGTATTGTTTTCATACCCAAAAGAGAACAAAACCCAGACTCAGAGTAGAGAAGTGAAGGTACTTTTAGCAAGCTAGTGGCAGAGACTGGATTCAAGGTCACACATTCTAATTTTAAATACAATGCTCTTTTTATGATTTCAAAGTATTCCAAAATAAATTGGGGGAAATAAATTGCTGTGGTTGTTGCAAGCTACCCATCTTTAGAGGAACAGTGATTAAATACTTCAGGAACAAGAGTGCATCTTCTTTGATTGTGTTTGAGAGAATAAAACTATAAGGAAAAATTTTCTTGTACAGCCAAATAAATATTTTATATGAGAAATTGTTTTCAGGTTGTGCACTGTGAATCAAGGCCAAATAGGGCCAAATGAGGCTCCTGAGAACAGAATGAAAGAGAATGCAGTAAAATATGACAAGGTAAAATGCCAGACCTTCAGATGACCATGGATTGTGTCATCAGCCGGGAAGGTGAGATGTTGAGCTATTCTAGCTAATTGTATTACAAAATAAGCATCTTTTCCTAACCACGATAGTCACCCTGACACACCCGACTAGAGTCCCCCATCTTGGGGGATACTTACTATGTGGAAATGACAGATTTGCACTTTTTTTCCTCTATAAATTTGCAACAGAACCAGATCCAGATATCTCAGTGAATTCGAGGGAATATGGTTTTCTATCAAGTGAACTTTGTGACATAATCCCACAACATATCTCAGAAATGAATAAAAATCATTGCAGATGCACCTACAAGTCTCCGAGCTTATGAGAAAATAGGACTTTTGGGGCCATTGGGTGGTGTATAAATTACACACATGAAGTTCCTTGAGTTCTGTAGTTCAGGGACCTTCCTCTTACTTTCTAGGCAACAGGCGCAATCTGTGTCAAGCAGGATCCCACTTGAATCCTCTCTGCTTACATAGGTTTATGGCTCTAAGGGATCTGTCAATTCCCTTCTGGAAAGGAACTGAAAACCTGGTGAAAGCTGGTATCACTTTCAATCTTTTAAATGGCTTTTAGGTCAATGCTAATAAATTTTGAATCTGTAGTTCATAATTTTTAGTTCAACCACATAATTATTCTTATTTTGTTTGTCATGTTAAAGCCTTAGCATAAAATGCTACTCTCATCATTCTAGACCCTTAAGAAAAATCACCTGTCAGCTTGAATTAATTATAATTTCCTTTTTAAATATTATAAGAAGAATCTTGTTCTTGGGAAGTACTAAACAAGCCCCAAATCTTTTCTTCAAATATTTTTAAGATGTATGCAGAAGGGTAAAAAGCAAGCAATAGAGTTATATGTGTAAACCTATTTCTTGGCTGGGCATGGTGCCTGTAAACCCGTTGCTTTGAGCCCAGGAGTTAGAGACCAACATGGCAAGAACTTACCGCTACAAAGTGAAACAAACAAACAAAAAATTTAATTGAATGTTGTGGGCGCTCTGCCTGTGATCCCAGCTACTTAGGAGGCTGAGGTGGGAAGATCACTTGAGTCCAGGAGGTCAGCGTTGCAGTGAGTTGTGTTGTGCCACTGCCCTACAGCCTGGATGATAACAGTGAGACCCTGTCTCAAAAAATAAATAAATACATAAAAAGTAGACTTATTTTTTACTCTAATTCTATGCTACTCTATGGATAATTTTATTTGTTACAAATTATGCTATAGATAGAGGTCATGAAAAACATACAGGAAGCATGGTGAAGTGAAAAATGTGGCACAGTAGATTTAGATAATTCTAGACTCATTTCTGTTTCTTCTTGACTATGTAACCTTGAGTAAGCCCTTCAATCTGTGTCTCATCTGTAAATGGGGATAATATTATTTGCCTCCAACACATTATTGACTGACTCAGTTATACTTCCCATGTTTTCAAAAACAATATGTTGGGGACCTTTTGCACTAATATAACTCCTTGTGTTGATCACTACCAGGTAATATGATGATTTATATTATTAGTGAGAGGTATTTTAGTTAGAGTTGAAAATATACTCAATATGTCAGGGTTTTTTTGTGATCTCCACAATAGAAGTTGAATATCGTTGGTGAAGACTGGAACAGAGCTTCTCAACTTCATCCTGGAAAGAACTCTCCAGGGTATTGTGTTCTGTTCTGGAAAACTCACCTCAGGAGGTTCTTTAATTAAATTGAAGAGTGCATATGGCTAGGCATTGAGTGTGTTTTTGGGCCACTGTCTGGGGACAGCCATGATAGAATTGAAGATATTTTACTTGGAGAATGAATGAATTGGGGACTTGCTATCTGTGATTATTTGCAAGAAGGTAATGTGTGGCAAGGTTTGGACTAGTTTTGTGAAGCTCTGGAGGACAGGAGTAGGATGAATAGGTGGATGATAACAAAAAATAATTTCAAACAGTTATAACTGATTTCAAAATGGATTGAGGTTATAGATATCTCAACACTGTAGGTGTTTAGTTAGAGTCTAGACAGACACTTTGGAGAGTTTTAATAACAAATTAGCTTAGGCTGGGCATGGCGGCTCGCACTTGTAATTCCAGCAATTTGGGAGGCTGAGGCAGGTGGATCAAGGCCAGCCTAGACAACATGGCAAAACCCTGTCTCTACAAAAAATACAAAAATCACCAGGGCATGGTGGCACATGCCTGTAGTCCCAGCTACTTAGGAGGCTGAGGTGGGTGGACTGATTGAGCCCGGGAGGTCTAGGCTGCATTGAGCTGTGATCATGCCATTGCACTCCAGCCGGGGTGACAATAAGACCCTGTCTCAAAAACAAAAAACAAAAAACAGAAACAAAAACAAAAACAAATTGGGTTAAATTATGTCTTAACAGCCAAGGTCACTTTTTACATAAATATTTTATAAATTTATCATTTTAATTACCATTTTTATTGGTAGATTAATAAATCATTACAATAAAGTATTTTAAATGTTTGTCTATTTCTTTATAAGTATATTTAGAGAAAACTTCAGCTGAACATCAAGTACATTCATATCACTATATTGTTCTAATTCATCACATTTCTTCAGGCCCATATTCTTGAGATACATATGACTTACTGATACATGAACTTGTATTTTTTGCTTTACTTTTCCATGGTTTCTGTGAGTTAGAAGAACATTATTTCATCTTTGATATTATCTTATTTTGAAATCATTTAAAGAACAAGGAATTGGAGGTATCTTAAATATTTCCTAGGCTGATAATTCATGATGTTCTTATTCCCCCTTCTAACATTTTTGACTAGTGGCTGTCTGTTACCACTTCCAAATGTAGGAACTCCCTAGTTCTTAAGACATCTCCAGCATCTTTAAATAGGTCTTAGTTTTAGAAAATCTTTTCTTTATGTTGTTCTGAATTCTTTCTTCCCGTCACTTGTGTCAGTTCTCCCCATTGGCACCACCAATGTGAAGCTAACCCTTGCTCCCCATAAATGGATCTTTGTACATTTAAAGACGGTCACCCTGTGCCTCACCTGGAGTCATGTTTTTTTGGGATTCCTGCTGCAAAATGAGTGTCATTGTCACTTTGGCAACTTTCCTCTGGGTAATCTGCCTTTTTACATCCACTCTAAAGTATGCTGTTTAGAACTGGACATAAACCTAATATAGCTGTGGTCTGGCTATAGAGAGCAGAACAGGACTGTCTCCTCCCTTGTTCTATTGTTTGTATTTCTATTAATGCAGCCTAAGCTTTTAATGGCTTTTTGTAGTAGCTGGAACTTGTACCTGACTCCTTCATTCAAGCAATATTTATTGAATGCCTGCTATGTACTAGAGTCTCTTCTATGCAAATGAAATCATGAGCCAAACAAAAGTATTTACATATTAGGGAATTGTATATAATGAAAGCCCTTTACTCTTTTCATAAGGTCTGTCATTAAATCATAGTCTCCAACTTGTAATAATGCATTAACATTTATCCAAGTGTAGGATTTTACATTTTTCTAATTAAATTTTATCTTGAAAATATATGGTATATTATTTTAACATTCTGAGATTTTATGGAATCATGATCCCATTCTCTAATGCATTTACAATGACTTGGCTATGTGAACAAAAGTAATAAAGTTTGTAATGTTATTCTCAGTAGGAATTACCACATTGAATGGGGAAAGACTGAAGACTGAGCTATGTGACATGTGACTAGAAAACTCCAGATTGACACATAGCACATTGTTCAGTACCTTTGGGTATGAATACTTAACTATATATTTGTCCACTTGATTGTTCCTGCATATAACTTATATCTCTGCCTTTTTTGTATGTGTGATAATGCCAGAAAAGGCTTTGTCAAATGCCTCGCTGAGACTTGTTTGCCAAATTTTGAGATCGTGTGAGGCATGATCGATCCTCTGTGCTTTTTGCAGCTCAGAGTTGGTGGATAGAAAGAAAAAAGGAGAGGAAATGGCTTTGTTTCTTGTCTTTAGAGCTGAACATAAGCAGTCCTGACTATAATGGTTGACTTCTCCACAGAACAAGGCCAGACATCCCTATTGTTCAAGGTACTAACAGGCTCAGTTTTAATGCAGCTACAACTGGTATCTCATATTAAATTTGGTGGGTAGACCACAGTGAGTGAGCTGAAAGTCAAGCAGTGGTCAGTTCTTGGGAGCCAGGGGAATGGGCAGTGGGCTCTCTGATTCTCTCTGTAGCTCTCTAACCTGGGAGGAGGGATAGTGTGAATGAAAAATATAAGTGGGGCTTGTGTTCTCTAGGTTGATATTTAAGTCAGGATTATGATCTTATAGGGGAGCCACAGAAGGTAACTAGTCAAAACTAAGGAGTTATGCCACCTGGAGAAGCACAATCTTACAGTGTAGCCCAAATCAGGGAGAAAATAAGAAATTTAAATTGGAGAGTTTCCCTTCAGTGAGGTCGAGAGGGCTGATATAAGGAGACTCAGGAAACAATGTGACTTGGATCTTTGAATCCAAAGCTTCAAGGTGTAGGGCTAAGGATTTCAGTTTGATTCAACAATCCTTACAGCCAAGAAAAATGAATGATGACAACCACCCTAGGTCCACTGGGGAAGACTTGAATGTAAACAAAATGTTAAAATATGATATATATGCTGTAAATATTATGTAGAGAACACCTCTTACTATTTATATGAGATTAGGAATCAAGAGGAGAGATGACACTGATGTCAAAAGGTGATGATTGGATAATAGCTTTTTGGTAGATGGAGACAGGAAAAACATTTGGAGGAAGCAAGATGGACCATTTTTGGCTGAGCAGAAAAATTTATTTAGCATCAACCATATGCCAGGCACTATACTGGGCCATGGAAAAACAATAATGAATGAGACTATGTCCCTTTGCTTAGAGAGCTTATTATCAAGCAAAACGGGAATCTGGAAATGTTATGGCCAGGAGGAATGATGCATGGGAAAAATGTGGAGTTAGGCCATGCAGGAATATAGTGTGTGCTTCTGAAAATCTGGGTTTTCAACTGTAGATAATAGAGAGCTATCAGAGGATTTTAAGTAGGAATACAATGGGGGCAAAATTTGTATTGTAAAAAAAAAAAAACTGCTGACAGCGTGGAAGATAAAGTGGAGGAAAAAGAGACTTGAAGCATTTTAAAATTTATGTCCCTAAATATTTTTATTCTCAACAACTTGAGATTTACAAGTGATTTGGGAGAAAGAGTAGACATACAAAAGAGCTAGTCTTGGATTTATTTGTAGGGTTCATAAACATGATTCATAAGAAATAAAAACTTAATAGCTTAAACAAAAAAATCTTCTCTCACACAGTCTCTGAGGGGCAGGAACCTGGGAGGGGTTTAGTTGGGGTAGTCTGGCTCAGGATCTTTCATGAGGTTTCAGGCCAAATGTTGGCTAGGCATTCAGTCAGCTGAATGCTTGTCTGGGGCTTGAGATTCTGGTTGGAGGCCTCAGTTCCTCATTGGTTGAGAAAGAATGAATTAGTTGGCTTGGGCTATGGCAACAAGGTACCACAGACTGACTGGCTTACAAAACAGAAATGTATTTCCTGACAGTTTTGGAGTCTCAGATTGAGGTGCCAGTCTGTTAGATTCCTGGTGAGGCCTCTTCCTGGCTTGTAGACCTGCTTGCTATGTCCTCATGGCCTTTCTTGGTTTGTGAGTGTGAGGGAACATAGCGAGCAAGCTCTCTGGTGTCTCTTCTTTTAAGGACACTAATCCTATTGGATCAGAGCACCACGCATATGACTTCATTTAACTTTAATTTCTTCCTTAAGAGGCCCCATTTCCAAATATAGCCACATTGATGGTTAGGGCTTGAACATATGCATTTGGGGGAGACACGAACATTCAGTCCATAACCAAAAGAGGAGAGAGAGAGAGAAAGAGAGAGACAGAACAGAACCACACTGTCTTAAATTAGTGTAAACAAATAAGTATGGCTTTATTCTGATAACACTTGATTTAAACAAAAATCAGCAGCCAGCTGAATTTTGCCTGTGGAGTGTAGTTTATCAAACTCGTCGGCATGTATCCCAGTTTTTTGACTTGCTAGTCTAGTGCTCTATCAAAGAATGAATTAAAGTAAAATCTACACAATCTACAATTTATTCTAAGTGACCACAGGCTGGGGCTTGATGATTTTGTATTCCTTTTGAAAACATTTACACACCTTGCTTTCAATGATCTAGGCTAGCATTTTGCATGTCATCGATTTTGAGCTCACGGCTCAGCAGAATCCATCTTTGACTCTGGACAATTGAAAGAACATTTTCCCAGATTTCCTCTTTGGGTATTTGTATGTTTTTAAGAATTGGTGTCGACAATATGGCATTTTGATGATAAATTCTTTTAGCACTCTGAATTATGGTGTCCCTCTCCCTGGGAATTTGAGGTCATTTAGATCACCTGGATTCTCTCTTCTAATCACCTTGCTCATCATGGACCTCAAACCTTTCTTTTCAGTATTCTATTCTTCTCTCTTTCAAGTTACATGCAAAGATGGGGTAGAAAAACCTTGTTTTCTTTTTCTCATGCATTAGTATAATACTACCGCTAGCACAAACAGAGCTCAGGCCACACATCTTCCACCATTTACTATCCTTTCCTCTGCTCTTTAGCATAGTCCAACTTGTTTTAAGAGGCATTTTTATACCCTGGCTGCACTTTCCCATCTTCTTCTCAAGCCTGGGGAGGGAAATAGAAATACAAATTCAGGAAGCCCAGAGAACAAATAGGATGACTCCAAAGAGATTCATACTGTCACACATTATAATTAAATTGTCAAAAGTTAAAGACTAACAGACATACATAGAACATTCCATCCAGCAGCAACAGAACACAAGTTCTTCTCAAGCACAATGTTCTCCACTATAGCTCATATGTTAGGCCAAAAAACAAGTCTTAACAAATTTAAGAAGATTGAAATCATATCAAATATCTTTTTCTTTATTTTTTAACATACTTCTACTTGGATTTCTTTCACACCTATCAACTAGAGTAGTACTCAATTAACTAAAACTGCTCCGATGAATAAAAATCAAGTACATTTTTAAAGAATATTTATTTGGATGATTGCCTGTCCAAAAGTCTTACTACTCTAGGCGTAGACCTGTCTTCAATAAACACCTCACTTAAACCATAATCCTGATCTAATTTCTCTCCTTGGTTCTCCCTTTCTGTTATTGTGGACAGAGGAATGTCAGCATCTTATATTCATAAGTACAATATTTTTATGGGATAGATTATAAAAACATGACTCAGAAATAATTCCACAGTTGGAACCAAGTCTTTTCTACTCCAGACCCAAGAATAGCTCTTTGTACTGGCCTTTCCCCTTTCAATTCTGGTATTAGATGAAAGTTGAATATTAAAAAAATTCAATGTCTTGTTTTATATATAGAAGTTATAAATATATATAACTAAGAACAACATATCATTTTATTTGAGCATTAAATTTAAAAACATTAAAATTTAAAATACTGCCACTTTTGTCTGTTAAAAAAGAGGCAAAAAATGCTAGTTCAGTTTGCAAAATTCTGAGACAGAGGTGGTAGAACATTTTGAAATGCATTTTTATAAACAGCTGCTCTGCCTGTTGTGATTAGATAAAGAAGCTATTTATTCTGCTTTGGTGATATTTCAAATCTTACAAGCACCTCACAATAAAAACTGTGGGAGCCAATTTACCAAATGGCCAGTTTGCCAGATGACCTTGCTTCTTTTAGGTACATTAATTTTGGTTAACCAGTTTTTATTTTGTCTTTATGATTGCAAATGTTAAAACTTCTACACATCAAATGGTACATTGAAATTATATTTACTAGAATAATAGAAATATTTAATAGAAAATCTTTTATTTACATATTTTATTGATGTCATTTATTTATTTTAGGTGCAAATGCTGAATTCATTTTTAAAATAGATATTTCTATTTTTTCTGCTACTGTGAAATTACATTTTACAATTTATCATCTTGATTTGAAAATTGAGATGTGTTATAAAACATTTTAATGCATATGTTTTTAAAAGATGGTGTATAGGCTGGACACAGTGGCTCACACTTCTAATCTCAGCCTTTTGGGAGGCCAAGACAGGAGTTTGAGACCAGCCTGGCCAACATAATGGAACCCCATCTCTAAAAAACAACCAAAAATCTGGTCATGGTTTTGTGTGTCTGTATTCCCAGCTACTTAGGAGGCTGAGGTGGGAGGACCACTTTAGCCTGGGAGGTTGATGCTGCAGTGAGCTATGATCACCCCACTGCACTCCAACCTGGGTCACAGCGTTAGACTCTTTCTCAAAAAAAAAAAAAAAAAGAGAAATGAAAAGATAGTAAATACTTTATATAAATTTAAAATTTGCTTTTGAAATATGAGTCCCGGAATGTTAGAGAAATACAACTGATTATTATAAAATTAGAGAACTCAGAAAACATGTCATCATTGATGTAACTTAAGCATATAAGGATCAGCTTTGGGGAAGGATTCTTCTGCACCACAAAGATTCCCATTAAGGCAATTATATTTATCAGATTGTCAGAGATGAGAGAATGAAGGTGGATATGTCCACTCCAAAAACTATAATAGGATGTTATAATGAAGAATCAGCAGGATTTTTGCTTAAAAACCAAATGAGACATTAAGGCTGGGTGTGATGACTCATGCCTGTAATCCCAGCATTATGGGAGTCTGAGGCGACAGGATCACTTGAGCCCAGGAGTTTGAGACCAGCATTTCTACTTAAAAAAAAAATAAGAAAATAAATGGGCCATTAAAAAGCAAAATTTCAGCAAACAGAATAGAAAATTATGAGGAACTTTTTTTTCTAATTTTTATCAATAAGCTTATTAAAAATAGTAAAATGACCCACATATACAAACATAGGCCAAAAGCTGAGAAATAAAAATTAAATAACAATTTATTTCTATGAGTAAAATAGTTTTGAGGCCTAAATAAAAGTGTGGAATTTGCTATAGTGCATTTGTTTTTGGTTAAATATTTTGATAAGAAATAAAAGTGGACAAATTTTATTTATTTATTTATTTTTTCTTTTTTCTTTCTTTTTTTTAATTATACTTTAAGTTCTAGGGTACATGTGCACAATGTGCAGGTTTGTTACATATGTATACATGTGCCATGTTGGTGTGCTGCACCCGTTAACTCGACATTTACATTAGGTATATCTCCTAATGCTATCCCTCCCCCCTCCCCCACACCCCACCACAGGCACTGTTGTGTGATGTTCCCCACTCTGTGTCTAAGTGTTCTCATTGTTCAATTCCCACCTATGAGTGAGAACATGCAGTGTTTGGTTTTCTGTCCTTGTGATAGTTTGCTGAGAATGATGGTTTCCAGCTTCATCCGTGTCCCTACAAAGGACGTGAACTCATCCTTTCTTATGGCTGCATAGTATTCCACAGTGTATATGTGCCACTTTTTCTTAATCCAGTCTAACATTGATGGACATTTGGGTTGGTTCTAAGTCTTTGCTATTGTGAATAGTGCTGCAATAACCGTATGTGTGCATGTGTCTTTATAGCAGCATGATTTATAATCCTTTGGGTATATACCCAGTAATGGGATGGCTGGGTCAAATGGTATTTCTAGTTCTAGATCCTTGAGGAATCGCCACACTGTCTTCCATAATGGTTGAACTAGTTTACAGTCCCA
Source organism: Homo sapiens (assembly GCF_000001405.40). NCBI lineage: Eukaryota > Metazoa > Chordata > Mammalia > Primates > Hominidae > Homo > Homo sapiens. Next base: position 118,303,235 of record NC_000007.14, read on the forward strand.
CCAACAGTGTAAAAGTGTTCCTATTTCTCCACATCCTCTCTAGCACCTGTTGTTTCCTGACTTTTTAATGCTCGCCATTCTAACTGGTGTGAGATGGTATCTCATTGTGGTTTTGATTTGCATTTCTCTGATGGCTAATGATGATGAGCATTTTTTCATGTATCTGTTGGCTGCATAAATGTCTTCTTTTGAGAAGTGTCTGTTCATATCCTTCGCTCACGTTTTGATGGGGTTGTTTGATTTTTTTCTTGTAAATTTGTTTAAGTTCTTTGTAGATTCTGGATATTAGCCCTTTGTCAGATGGGTAGATTGTAAAAATTTTCTCCCATTCTGTAGGTTGCCTGTTCACTCTGATGATAGCTTCTTTTGCTGTGCAGAAGCTCTTTAGTTTAATTAGATCCCATTTGTCAATTTTGGCTTTTGTTGCCATTGCTTTTGGTGTTTTAGTCATGAAGTCCTTGCCCATGCCTATGTCCTGAATGGTATTGCCTAGGTTTTCTTCTAGGGTTTTTATGGTTTTAGGTCTAACATGTAAGTCTTTAATCCATCTTGAATTAATTTTTGTATAATGTTGTAAGGAAAGGATCCAGTTTCAGCTTTCTACATATGACTAGCCAGTTTTCCCAGCAACATTTATTAAATAGGGGAATCCTTTCCCCATTTCTTGTTTTTGTCAGGCTTGTCAAAGATCAGATGAATGCCAAAAGCAAACAAATGTTAGTTCTGTTAACAAAGATCTACATGCCAAATGGTTGGATCCTGTCACCCTCAAAGAAAATAGGTTAAGTGTAATATAATTTCTCTGGGGACTTTGGAGGTATTAGGCTATTTGTGATGCAAAACTTTGCTTCTCCATTCAGCTAAAACTGGGTTCTTGTCACACAATCAGGAAAGATTAGGCATGCGGACACCTTGAAGATTGAGTAGAGAAGAATTTATTGGGTGAAAAGGAAAAAAGGAACAAAAAACTGTCAGCAAAATGAGAGGGGATCCTGCAAGCAGGCTGCCATCTCACATACTGAATTCCAAGCCACCACTCTTGAGCTAAAGAGGCCAGGCTCCTCCCCACTGCACAAGGCATGAACTTCCCTTAGCTCCACCCCATTCTCCCAGTGTGCTGGTGGGTTGAGGATGCTCCACGGACTCTCCTTTTTATCTGCTTCTTGCATCTATCATTTGGATAGAAGGTTATTTATTGTGATTCTCTCTGTAAATCTGTTCTCAATGAACAGAAAAAAAAAACTAGGTGATAAGATAATAACTGGGTGGAGAGAGAAAGATGTCAAGAATAAACGGATCTCAAATGAGGATTATATCAAAACATGCTCTAATAGGGGCCAGATGAGAAGACCATTATCTACATAAACGAAGCATAACCTGGCTCCCACCAATTTCTATTAAAAGTTTGGCTGATGTCACTTTAGAAGAGCCAGGCTTATGTAGAAATGAGCTCTAGGTCAATAAGCCAAAAGTCAGTTCATCAAGTGGCCAATTGGCCAAATGACCTTGTTTCTTTTAACTATATTAATTTTAGTTAACTGGTTTTCATTTTGTCTTCATGATAGCTTTTAAAATAATGATCCATTTGCTTCTCCCCCAGTTTACTAAATAATGTTCTTTTTGTTTCTACTGCAGCTGAAGACCAAGGGCCAGAGGGAGGGAAAGACTGACAGGCATAAAGACATGTTTTTGATTATAAAAAATTCTTAACAATATATTATTCATGAATATATTCTATATATGGATATATTCTTCATGAATGTATTCATTTAAATTTATATATATATATAAACAGAATTTATCTTTAGGAGACTAGATTGTTATGAATATATTTTTCTTAAGAATAGGAATATATAACTCATAAATATTTTAGAATATTAGGAATTTCAAGTTTAATTTTGATTTTATTCTTGAATCGAATCTGTCTCTCCTTTCTCTCTTCATACCTCAAATCCTCCTCTTTTTTCTCCCCCATTGCTAGCTCTTGAGCATGGTGTCATGAAGACAAAATAAGAACCAGTCAATATAGTCAGAAAAAATAAATAAATTAGGTAAATTAGTGAGTTATCTGACCTCTGTGGGGATGCAAACTTGGTGTGGTTGAGGGAAAGTTAATTTGTAATATTTTCTAAAGGAAATATAAGGATGATACTTTGCTTATAAGAAGAGCAGGATAAATTATATCACATAGCTATTAGCACAAATGCTTGGAATGAACATTTTACAACTGTTTTGGATCATTCCTATAATGGCTGCACCTTTGTAAAGATTTATGATTTTAATGCAAGATTGATTTAGAGTCTACATGACTATTATGCAAGATTTGTAGTCCTGCATTGGATTTGTCACTTCACCCTTCATCAAATGGAGGGTAAAAAAGGCCTTACATGCGCTGAGTTAAAAGAGAAGAAAAGGTAAATAAATTATATGAAGATATTTATATTTGATGTATGTCATAAGTTTGCAGATAATGCTATTAAATAAGCAAATCCTGCTGAATTTAAGGAATAGGGGAATTGTCTTTTAGTTATCTTATTTGAGAGATTTAAATAAGCCCACAGTAAAAAGCATACACAGAAAGCAATGTGTTTCCCAATACTTTAATAGAAAGCCTGGTCAGAGCTTCCTGCCTATCTGTTGATTCACTGTACAACACTGTGCTGTGAACGGGTCAGTTACATCCTTTTCCAGTTACCCTGTTTTGCTGTATGAATGCAATTCTTTTCTATGTGTGCTGCATTGTAAGCAAGGTGGAAAGTACTGGCTAGACAATGCTAATATTAAAAACAATTTTTATTTTAGCCTTTAAGAATTGTGTGATTGCCACTTTACACTGATACCCTCTGGCAAAAAGACTAACAACAGCAAAAAAAGTCAATGAACCTTTTTTTTTTCTTTGCCTTCTTAAAGAATTGACTAAAAAATTGCTCCTGACCAACAGTTTTAAAATTCAGTCAACTTCACAGGGAAAGCAAGTGACTGAACACTGTTAGGGAATGACTCCTCCACTCCAATGCCATCAAATTAGATGTAATGAGTAGGTGACCTGAATACCATGTATGAAATCTGTTATTCTGAGAAACTCATTTGATTACTGAATCAGGGATTTAAAGGGTGACTTCCATAATAATTAAACCAGAAATAAAATAGTCCTAGAAAGATAAGTAAGTGACAGTCTCTTGCTTTGATTTCTAGATCTCCATTATCTGAAAATTCATCTGAAAGGCAGTAGGCAAGAGTTGAAACAACAGGGTGCCATTTCTTTAGAAAAAAAAGATATCTCAAAACTGAAAATATTAATAGAACCTTACTTACTAACGTGGATAATTGATAGAACATTGATCTGAATGAATGAAAACACTGAATTGCAAAATTTATTCAAAGAAAGTTAGTTCATTCTAAATTTATAGTTATACAAATAAGCTTAATAAAATATGTTGTTATTAAATGTCCTTTATATCAAGTGGAAATAATTCATGATTGGTTAGCTTCCTAGGACTTCTGTAACGAAGTACCACAAACTGTGTGGCTTAAAACAACAGAAATGTATTCTCTCATGGTTCTAGAGACTAGAAGTCTGAAATCAAGAGCTGGCAGGTTGGTTCCTTCTGAAGACCTTGAGAGAGAATCTGTTTCATGACTCTCAGCTGCTGGTATTTGCCAGCAATCTTCGGTGTTCTGTCGTCTAGATGTATCACTCTAATCTCTGCTTCTGTTTTCACATGACATTCTCTCCATGTATCTCCCTGTGTTCAAATTTCTCTCTTCTGTATAAGGACATGACTCATTGGCTTAGGGCCCACCCTAGTCCAGTATGACCTCATCTTAACTAATTACATCTGTGAAGACCCTATTTACAAATAAGGTCACATTCTGAGGTTCTGAATGGATCTGAATTTTGGGGAACACTATTCAACCCAGTATAATTAATACAGTAAACCACCAGCCCAGACAATTAGCTACACCTGGCACAGACACTAATGAGTTGTTTGCAATACATCTGCAAGGCTTTAAATTGTTTTTTAAGAAACAAAATTTGGCCTGTAATTCCAGCACTTTGGGAGACCAAGGTGGGTGGGTCACTTGAGCCCAGGAGTTTGAGACTAACCTGGGCAACATGGTGAAACCTTGTCTCTACAAAAAATACAACAGTTAGCTGGACATGGTGGTGTGTGCCTATAGTTCCAGGTACTCAGGAGGCAAAGATGAGAGGATTGATTAAGCCTGAGAGGTTGAGGCTGCAGTGAGCTATGATTTTGCCACTGCACTCCAGCATCGGTGACAGAGGGAGACCCAGTCTCAAAACAAACAAACAAAAGAAATAAAATTTGCTATATCTATATTTTTATTACCAATTTCTTGGTGACTCTTTAATATTGATATGATAAACTTAGCTCATTTCTTCTTTTAATTACCACATATTCTAAATGTATTAAATTAGAACAAATGATTTTATCATAATTATACTTGGAATTCATTAGTATAACCATCATCTACGGAATAACACCCATTTTTTGGAGGACAATTAATGTGATGAAGGGAATGCAGCGAAAGTATATTATCTAAAGTGATATTTTTTTCAATTAAATGGCTCATGAATCTAATTTGTTCATACCAATATGTAATGGCTGCTGGAGAAATAAACTGTAAACTATGTTTGAATGGTATCAGGCTGGATTACCCTGCTACCTCCCTGTCCTCTAGTTTTCTTGGGCTGACTTTATTTTAAAATCCAAAAAGAGTATAGTGACATCCATACTACCTACCTGGAGGAGCCCACTGGTGCTCTCGTTAATATGTTTGCTAATTCCTGGGTAATGGGGAGAAGAGGTTACCTTCTGTATTAGTCCATTCCCACACTGCTAATGAAGACATACCCAAGACTGGATAATTTATAAAGGAAAGAGGTTTAATTGACTTACAGTTCAGCATGGCTGGGAGGCCTCAGGAAACTTACAATCACGATGGAAGGTGAAGGGGAAGCAAGGCACCTTCTTCATAAGGTGGCAGAAAGGAGAAGTGCCAAGTGAAGGGGGAAGAGCCCCTTATAAAACCATCAGATTTTGTGAGAACTCACTCACTATCATGAGAAAAGCACGGGGGACACCACCCATATGATTCAATTACCTCCACTTCGTCTCTCCCTTGACACATGGGAATTATGGGGATTCCAATTCAAGATGAGATTTGGGTAGGGACACAAAGCCTAACCATATCATTCTGCTCTGGCCCCTTCAAAATCTCATGTCCCTTTCATATTTTAAAATCAGCCATGCCTCCCAACAGTCCCCCAAAGTCTTAACTCATTCCAGCATTAACCCAAAAGTCCAAGTCCAAAGTCTTATGTGAGACAAGGCAAGTCCCTTCTGCCTATGATCCTGTAAAATCGAAAGTAAGTTAGTTACTTCCTAGATACAATGGTGGTACAGGCGTTTGGTAAATACATGCATTCCAAATGGGTGAAATTGGCCAAAACAAAGGGGCTACAGGACCCATGCAAGTCTGAAATCCAGCAGGACAGTCAAATCTTAAAGCTCTGAAATGATCTCCTTTGACTCCATGTCTCACATCCAGGTCATGCTGATGCAAAATGTGGGCTCCCATGGCCTTGGGCAGTTCCACCTCTATGGCTTTTCAGGATACAACCCCTTTCCTGGCTGCTTTCATGAGCTGGCGTTGAGTATCTGCATCTTTTCCAGGCACACAGTGCAAGCTGTTGGTGGATCTACCATTCTGGGGTCTAGAGGATGGTGGCCATCTTCTCACAGCTCCACTAGGCAGTGCACCAGTGTGGATTCTGTGTGGGGGCTTTGATCTCACATTTCCTTCTGTACTGCCCTAGCAGAGGTTCTCCATGAGGGCTCCACCCCTGCAGAAAACTTCTGCCTCAATATTCAGGCATTTCCTTACATCCTCCGAAATCTAGGTGAAGTTCCCAAATCTTATTTCTTGACTTCTGTGTACCTGCAGGCTCAACACCATGTGGAAATGTCAAGGGTTAGGGTTTGCACCTTCTGAAACCTGACCTGTATCTTGGCCCCTTTTAGCCACAGCTGGGATGCATGACGCCAAGTCTCAAAACTGCACAAAGCAGCAAGGCCCTGGCCACAGCCCATGAAACTATTTTTTCCTCCTGAACCTCTGGTCCTGTGATGGGAGGACCTGCTATGAAGTTTTCTGACATGCCTTGGAGCCATTTTCCCCATTGTCTTGGAAATTAACATTTGACTCCTCATTACTTATGCAAATTTCTGCAGCTAGCTTGAATTTCTCCTCAGAAAATTGGTTTTTCTTTTCTATTGCATTGTCTGGCTGCAAATTTTCTAAACTTTTATGTTCTGCTTCCCCCTTAAACATAAGTTCCAATTCAAAATCATATTTTTGTTAATACATAAAACTGAATGCTTTTAAGAGCACCTAAGTCACATCTTGAATGCTTTGTTGCTTAGAAATTTCTTCTGCCATATACCCTAAATCATCTCCCTCCAGTTCAAAGCTCCACAGATCTCTAGGGCAGGGGCAAAATGACGCTTTGCTAATTCCTGGGTAATGGGGAGAAGAGGTTACCTTTGCTAAAGCATAGCAAGAATCACCTTTATTCCAGTTCCCAACAAGTTCTTTATCTCCATTGAGATCGCTTCAGCCTGAACTTTATTGTCCATATCACTATCAGCATTTTGGTCAAAGCCATTCAACAAGTCTCTAGGAAGTTCCAAACTTTCCCACATCTTCCTGTCTTCTGAGCTCTCCAAGTCTCTAGGAAGTACAAACCTCTGCCTGTTACCCATTTCAAAGTCACTTCCACATTTTCTGTATCTTTACAGCAGGACAAAGCCTAATCGTATCACCTCCTGTCTATTTCAGTCAATGCCAATTCTCTTGTCTTAGCTGTTACTCTGAGAATTTGCTGCTGCTGTCTTTTTTTCTTGCTTGGCTTCATCTCATGCTGGACTACATCTCTCTTCCTTCACTTTTCTATAGTTCCACTACGTGATTGTTGCATCTGGCAATCTTTCATTGAAGTTTTGGTGACTGCAGAGAGCCTAGAAAAAAACTAAAATATTAATCACTGTTCAACTTAAATATTGTCACTGTTCTTAGAAACTTCCTACCATCAATTAATGCATGGCTTTCTCACTTGCCATGTCCCTTTGGATGCCCACATCCTCCCATGATATTGTGGGGCCTTGTTTTGTTTTCCTATGATCCCGTTTCTCTTGTACTATTCTTAAAAATGTCACATTTTTCTTTCTTAGTTATATAGAACATTTTAGGTTTTTCTTTGTTTTATCCTCTCTTTCCAAACCACAATCTGGGAAGTATTAGAGTTATAAATAAAGTAGTTATCTTTCAAGCTCAAAGAGGTCCATCAAAGTAGATAAGAGAAAGCATCACCTCATATTAGTATTGACATTTTCCTAAAAACTTTTAAAGCCACTGTAGTAACTGAACCTTGAACTTATCTTCAGACTCTACTGTACATTTTGCTGACAACAACGCCTTTTTGACAACCTAGGAACTGGTAAGTGTTCTTCTGAGCATTTACCCTAAGGGAATGTTCTGAGCTGTCTCCCTGTGCTTTATGATCTGCATGGGTGAAGGAAGAAAATTTACATTAAAGAATCAGAATAAAATGGAACTCTAATATTAACACAAGGCATTTGGGAAGTAGAGATAAGCTACGTACAGGACCACACGAGACTTACAAAGAGTTGGTTTTGAATGTTTTGAAGTTTATGGCTTATGAGCAACTCTCTTTAATTGTCCTGCCTTCTTACTTGAGGAACAATTTATGCATAATCTGTATGCAGTAGAAAATCAATGTCTGGTTAAAAAAAATTAGAATTTTTTGCCCATTGTGAATGTGAGGTGTCATTGTTCACATTTTACAATTAAATAAACAAGAATGCTAAGTAGTGAAATGACTCTCATCCATGTATCTTATGAGTTGAAAAATAAGGTCAGTCAACTCTGGTTTCTGATTCACTCTTTTTATCTCTAGGAAAGTTCATTCTCTCAAGAATGGAGAAAACATAAGGGGCTATTTTTATAACAGCAAAGAATTACATAGTATGTTCATAGCCAACCCATTGAACCTAAGTAGTAAAGAATGAAAGTCTTCTTCCTTCACAGGTGGGTTGTGTCATGTGGATCAGTTAACTGATGGGTGAACTTTCTCTGTATTTATATATCTTCTGTTGTCCAAATCCTGGCAAACTGTACATTATTAACTAACTCCTTACTCTTGTTTCTGAAGTGTTTAGAAGCTATCGTTTCTTATCAGATAAATGTAAAATAGTCTTATTAGGTTAGGTTGAAATAACTTGTCATGGATTGAGATTAATGATATTACTTAGTTTTGCATCATCTTGCCAAAACCATAGGGAGTAACAGTTAAACAAAGCAAGAGAATAACTTGCAACTGAAACAGGAAATGAGTATGAGTTGTCTATTGCCAAATAAAGGTGTCTACAGTAATTATGACCTCCAGTCTCTCTTGCACCATAAACTGTTGCAAAATATTGCTTCCTAGATTCAGTGTAGTGAGAGAAAGGCTCCTCATAGTTGTAAGAACACTTAAATGGGATAACATATGTAAAGAACCTTGAACAGTTTCTGGCATTTAGTAGGGGAACAATAAGCTTGAATTTTCTTTTACCATTGCTTATAAGGTTTTTACATAGGTAATGAAAAAAAGTTTTTCATGAGGGCTGCAGAAAAAATAATAATGCTTATGCAAATTTGAATAAATTTTCAGGATATTTTCAGCCTTTGTAGTGAGTGTTTTTTGCTACATTAGTCGGTTTTACTATGTTTTTATATTACTCAGCTAAGACAACAGTAAGTTATCTATTAAGTTGGTATTTTTTCTTTTTTAGATACAGACATGAGTAAAATGTTAAATTTGTTATGAATTTACTTAAGAGAACCATGGACAAGAACTTTCTGAAAAGGCTGGGGCAGGAAATCGAAAGGCCAAGCTCTCTGAATGTTCTGCCTCAGGTGCTGCCAGTTGGGTTAAACAATCATCTCTAAATAAACATTACTCTTGTTAGTGTGTCTGACATTTTCTTCACCTTCCCATCTGCTTGAAATTGCTAGTAGAGTTGCTCCATGTACTCCTGTTCTTGGGGAGTTTACAAGACATTTGATCACTTTCCCTGATTTCCTTTCTGCTCATCTTCCTGGTAATAACCCAGTTCTTTCTGCTGACTTTCAGTTGTTGCATTTGATGGGGATTCGCTTGCTTTGTTTGTGATTCAAATTTACTCTGAAGCCATTGTCAGGGCCAAAAGAAAACTTGCCTTTTGCCCTTCGAAGGTTTGCTGAAAATCACTGACAAGAGGCAGATTAATAGGAGAAAATGCATATACATTTATTTGATCATAGTTTTACATGACACAGGAGCCTGCAGAATAAAGACCCAAAGATACAGGGGAAATTGTCCATTTTTATATATAGGTTTAACAAAGTATAGATAGCTGGGTAGAAATATGATTGAGCGAAAATGCTAATAGACTCTTTGGGGAAACCCAGCAAGATTCTTCTTGGCCTCCCTGAGCATGCATTTTTTCCTTCTGGGTGTGAGGTAGAACCCTCTCTGGAATGGGGTTCTTGTAACTATAGTAAAACAAGGCAGATCAGATAATTTTTCTATGGTCAGTTTGTACACATGAAGGTGGAAGGAAAGTTAGAATAATATTTTTAGCTTTTATCGCTGGCTTTGTGGAAAAGGGATCTGTGTTCTATGACCCACCTTGGGAAGAGGATTCTAGTTTCTATGGCTAGGCTTGGGGGAGCATGGGACTGAGAGGAGGACAGGGGAAGGTCAGAGAAAATTTTGCTTCTGAGGCCTTCATTTTGGGGCATTGTCTTCTGAGTCACAACAACATACTTGGTGGTTTCTAGGCTCTGAAATCTGGGTTTCCCCACTTAAAATTTCCATGTAGTCTTGTGGTCTTAACAGGCTGATGCATATGGTGAGTATTCAACAGTTGTAGATGTAATTTCCTGACACTTCAGGTCATTGATTCCTACTGTTTTTCTTTTTCTTTTATTTTTGTATGTTTTATTTTTATTATACTTTAAGTTCTGGGATACATGTGCAGGACATGCAAATTTGTTACGTAGGTACCCATGTGCCATGGCGGTTGCTCACACATCAACCCATCATATGCATTCAGTATTTCTCTTAATGCTATCCCTCCCCTTGCCCCTCAACCCCCTACAGGCCCTGGTGTGTGATGTTCCCCTCCCTGTGCCCATATGTTCGCATTGTTCAAATCCCACTTACGAGTGAGAAAATGCGGTGTTTGGTTTTCTGTTCCTGTGTTAGTTTGCTGAGAATGATGGTTTCCAGCTTCATCCATGTGCCTGCAAAGGACATGAACTCATCCTTTTTTATGGTTGCATAGTATTCCACGGTGTATATGTGCCACATTTTCTTTATCCAGTCTATCATTGATGGGCATTTGGGTTGGTTCTTAGTCTTTGCTATTGTGAACAGCTCTGCGATAAACACACATGTGCATGTGTCTTTATAGTTATAATCCTTTGGGTATATACCCAGTAATGGGATGGCTGGGTCAAGTGGTATTTCTAGTTCTAGATCCTTGAGGAATTGCCACACTGTCTTCCATAATGGTTGAACTAATTTACACTCTCACCAACAGTGTAAAAGTGTTCCTATTTCTCCACATCCTCTCCAGCATCTGCTGTTTCCTGACTTTTTAATGATCGCCATTCTAACTGGCATGAGATGGTATCTCATTGTGGTTTTGATTTGCATTTCTCTGATGATCAGTGATGATGAGCTTTTTTTCATATGTTTATTGGCCACATAAATGTCTTCTTTGGAGAAGTGTCTGTTCATATCTTCTGCCCACTTTTTGATGGGGTTGTTTTTTTCTTGTAAATTTGTTTAAGTTCCTTGTAGATTCTGGATATTAGCCCTTTGTAAGATGGATAGATTGCAAAGGTTTTCTCCTATTCTGTAAGTTGCCTGTTCACTCTGATGATAGTTTCTTTTGCTGTGCAGAAGCTCTTTAGTTTAATTAGATCTCATTTGTCTATTTTGGCTTTTGTTGCCATTGCTTTTGGTGTTTTAGTTATGAACTCTTTGCCCATGCCTATGTTCTGAATGGTATTGCCTATGTTTTCTTCTAGGGTTTTTATGGTTTTAGGTCTTACATTTAAATCTTTAATCTATCTTGAGTTAATTTTTGTATAAGTTGTAAGGAAGGGGTTCAGTTTGTTTTCTGCATATGGCTAGCCAGATTTCCCAACACCATTTATTAAATAGGGAATCCTTTCTCATTGCTTGTTTTTGTCAGGTTTGTCAAAGATCAGATGGTTGTAGATGTGTGGTGTTATTTCTGAGGGCTCTGTTCTGTTGCATTGGTCTATATATCTGTTTTGGAACCAGTACCAAGCTGTTTTGGTTACTGTAGGCTTGTAGTATAGTTTGAAGTCAGGTAGCATGATGTGTCCAGCTTGGTTCTTTTTCCTTAGGATTGTCTTGGCTACATGGGCTCTTTTTTGGTTTCATATGAAATTTAAAGTAGTTTTTTCTAATTCTGCGAAGAAAGTCAATGGTAGCTTGATGGGAATAGCATTGAATCTATAAATTACCTTGGGCAGTATGGCCATTTTCATGATACTGATTCTTCCTATCCATAAACATGGTATGTTTTTCCATTTGTTTATGTCATCTCTTATTTCCTTGAGCAGTGGTTTGTAATTCTCCTTGAAGAGGTCCTGCACATCACTTGTAAGTTGTATTCCTAGGTATTTTATTCTCTTTGTAGCAATTATGAATGGGAGTTCCCTCATGATTTGGCTCTCTATTTGTCTGTTATTGGTGTATAGGAATACATGTGATTTTTGCACATTGATTTTGTATCCTGAGACTTGCTGAAGTTGCTTATCAGCTTAAGCAGATTTTGGGTTGAGACGATAGGGTTTTCTTTTTTCTTTCTTTCTTTTTTTTTTTTTTGAGATGGAGTCTCTCTCTGTTGCCCAGGCTGGAGTGCAGTGGCGCAATCTTGGCTCACTGCAAGCTCCACCTCCCGGGTTCACGCCATTCTCCTGTCTCAGCCTCTGGAGTAGCTGGGACTGCAGGCACCCGCCACCACGCCCGACTAATTTTTTTTTATTTTTAGTAGAGATGGGGTTTCACCGTGTTAGGCAGGATGGTCTCGATCTCCTGACCTCGTGATCCGCCCACGTTGACCTCCCAAAGTGCTGGGATTTCAGGTGTGAGCCACCACGCCCAGCCATGATGGGGTTTTCTAAATACGCAATCATGTCATCTGCAAACAGAGACAATTTGATTTCCTCTCTTAACTATGTGAATACCCTTTATTTCTTTCTCTTGCCTGATTGCCCTGACCAGAACTTCCACTACTATGTTGAACAGGAGTGGTGAGAGAGGGCACCTTGTCTTGTGCCATTTGTCAAAGGGAATGCTTCCAGTTTTTGCCCATTCAGTATGATATTGGCTGTGGGTTTTTCATAAACAGCTCTTATTATTTTGAGATATGTTCCATCAATGCATAGTTTATTGAGAATTTTTAGCATGAGAAAGGCTGTTGAATTTTGTCGAAGGCTTTTTCTGCATCTATTGAGATAATCATGTGGCCTTTGTCATTGATTCTGTTTATCTGATGGATTACGTTTATTGATTTGCATGTGTTGAACCAGCCTTGCATCTCAGGGATGAAGCCGACTTGGTCGTTGTGGATAAGACTTTTGATGTGCTCCTGGATTCGGTTTGCCAGTATTTTATTGAGGATTTTCGCATTGATGTTCATCCAGGATATTGGCCTGAAATTTTCCTTTTTTGTTGTGTCTCTGCCAGATTTTGGTATCAGGATGATGCTGTCCTCATAAAATGTCCCAGAGATTCTGGTACATTGTGTCTTTGTTCTCACTTGTTTCAAAGAACATCTTTATTTCTGCCTGCTTTTCGTTATTTACCCAGTAGTCATTCAGGAGGAGGTTGTTCAGTTTCCATGTAGTTGTGTGGTTTTGAGTGAGTTTCTTAATCTTGAGTTCTAATTTGATTGTAGTGTGGTCTGAGAGACTGTTTGTTATGATTTCTGTTCCTTTACATTTGCTGAGGACTACTTTACTTCCAATTATGTGGTCAATTTCAGAATAAGTATGATGTGCTGAGAAGAATGTATATTCTGTTGATTTGGGGTGGAGAGTTCTGTAGATGTCTATTATGTCTGCTTGGTCCAGAGCTGAGTTCAAGTCCTGGATATCCTTGTTAATTTTCTGTCTCATTGATCTGTCTAATATTGACAGTGGGGTGTTAAAGTCTCCCACTACTATTGTTTGTGGGAGTCTAAGTCTCTTTGTAGGTCTCTAAAAACTTGCTTTATGAATGTGGGTGCTCCTGTACTGGGTGCAGATGTATTTAGGATAGTTAGCTTTTCTTGTTGCATTGATCCCTTTACCATTATGTAATGCCCTTCTTTGTCTCTTTTGATCTTTGTTGGTTTAAAGTCTGTTTTATCAGAGACTAGGATTGCAATCCCTGCTTTCTTGTGCTTTCTATTTGTTTGGTAAATATTCCTCCATCCCTTTATTTGGAGCCCATGCATGTCTTTGCACATGAGATGGGTCTCCTGAATGCAGTGCACTGTTGGGTCTTGACTCTTCATCCAGTTTGCCAGTCTGTGTCTTTCCATTCTCCCCGTCACTTTCAGGTACACCTATCAAATGTAGATTTGGTCTCTTCACATAGTCCCATATTTCTTGGAGGCTTTGTTCATTCCTTTTCATTTTTCTCCTCTAATCTTGTCTTCATGCTTTATTTCATTAAATTTATCTTCAATCTCTGATATCCTTTCTTCCGCTTGATAAATTCAGCTATTGATACTTGTGTATGCTTCATGAAGTTCTCGTGCTGTGTTTTTCAGCTCCATCAGGTCATTTATGTTCTTCTCTAAACTGGTTATTCTAGTTAGCAGTTCCTGTAACCTTTTATCAAGGTTCTTAGCTTCTTTGTGTTGGGTTAGAATTTACTCCTTTAGCTTGGAGGAGTTTGTTATTACCCATCTTCTGAAGTCTACTTCTGTCAATTTGTCAAACTCATTGTCCAGTTTTGTTCCCTTGCTGGCAAGGAGTTGTGATCCTTTGGAGGAGAAGAGGCATTCTGGTTTTTGGAATTTTCAGCCTTTTTTCACTGTTTTTTCCTCATCTTCATGGATTTGTCTACCTTTGGTCTTTGATGTTGGTGACTTTTGGATGTGGTTTTTGCATGGTCATCCTTTTTGTTGATGTTGATGCTATTGCTTTCTGTTTGTTAGTTCTCCTTCTAATAGTCAAGCCCCTCTTCTGCAGGTCTTCTGGAGTTTGCTGGAGGTCCACTCCAGACCCTGTTTGCCTGGGTATCACCAGTGGAGGCTGCAGAACAGCAAAGATTGCTGCCTGCTCCTTCCTCTGGAAGCTTCGTCCCAGAAGGGCACCCACCAGATGCCAGCTGGAACTCTCCTGTATGAGGTGTCTGTCAACCCCTGCTGGGAGGTGTCTCCCCATCAGGAGGCACAGGGGTCAGGAACCCACTTGAGCAGGCAGTCTGTCCCTTAGCAGAGCTTGAGCACTGTGCTGGGAGATCCACTGCTCTCTTCAGAGCCAGCAGGCAGAAACGTTTAAGTCTGTTGAAGCTGTGCTCACAGCTGCCCCCTCCCCAAGACGCTCTGTCCCAGGGAGATGGGAGTTTTATCTATAAGCCCCTGACTGGGGCTGCTGCCTTTTTTTCAGAGATGCCCTGCCCAGAGAGGAGGAGATTCCTATTGTTTTTCTACTGCTGCTTCTAGGATTTGACAGGTTGTATTTCTGTAAAGAGTAATAAACACACAGAAAGAAGACAGGAATATTTTACCTAGTGCTTCACTGAAATCAGATTCAGTATATTTATCAATAATTATTCACTGAGGCTATCCTGTCCTTGATTTGGAGCTAGTGAACATGTTGTATATGTGACATAGAATAATATTTTAACTAAAAAATAAAAATCATAGCCCATCAACTGGATTTTTTGTCACAGAAACCTGATATATCTAGGGAATTATCAATATGTGGATACTTTGGTGTCAAGCATTAAACATAACCTATGTTGTTAACCACGTGAAAACATTAAACTAGTACACATTTTATTTGGCATGTTATCATCCAGTGACAAAAAATATTAAAGAATCTTAGTGGAAGGAGTTATATATAACAAACAGGAATAGTAATTTAAGACAAACAATAAAGATAGATATACGTTAGAAAATCTCTCTTAGTCCACTTGAGCTACTATATAAGAAAATACCTTAGGCTATGTAATTTATAAGGAACAGAAAATTATTGCTCACAGTCCTAGAGGCAGGGAAGTCCAAGATTAAGGTTCCAGCAGATTTCGTGTTTGATGAGCGTTTGCTGTCTGCCTCATAAGATGGCGCCTTCTAACTGTGACTTCACACGGTGGAAGGGGCAAGGGAGATAACTTGAGCCTCTTTTATTGGAGTACCAAAAATTTATGAGAGTGGGGCCCTCATAACTTAATCACATCCCAAATGCCCCACCTCTTAATACTATTGCATTGGGTTTTAGGTTGCATCCTATGAATTTGTGGAAACACCAACATTCAGACCATAGAACTATCTAAAATAACACAATTGTGGTAATTACCTTTTTGGCCAAAATATACTTTTAAAGTAATGAGAAACCAGTTCGTACTTAGGTCAAATTATATTTCCAAAAGTTAATAGCTTAGATGATTTTTATTGTGTCATATAAAAAAGTTAAAAAAATTATATTTAGTTACTTAAGGCTGATGCTTTAAAAAACAAAACTATGTGAAAAGAATCCACTCTTGAGAATGCATTCTTGTGTTGCTAATGAAAACTTTGCTGTCATAAATAAAAGGAAACAAATATATGTATAAAAGAGAGCTTTTCTTCACAAGTTTTATTTGACCTTTAATAGAGTCAGGAGATGCTATTAACATCTAAGTAGTTTTAGAATTTCAAGAATGAAGGGATACTCTCTGACTGAAGCATTTTTGTATTTTTAATTCCAAGGCCTGTGTTATGGTGTTCACATACTGATTAAAGAATTAGTTTTTCCATTTTTCTGCCAATCTCGTAAGCAACAACTTGAATAATCAAACAGATGGTAAATATAAATATCTAATATGCAGAATTTTATGTAATCATTTGTGTTAATATTTATCTAGCACTTTAAGTTTCCAACTCCCTTTCATGTTAGTCATTTCCCCAGCATCCTGGTGCCCATGAGTTTAGGAGCTTTGTTTCTTGCTGGGGAGGCAGGCACCAGCATTGAGAAAATGGACTGGGGTGTTGGGCATCTGAACTTTCTTCTTTTCTCTTTGGTCTGGAAATATGATAAAAGACATATCTAATATCTTTTGCTTATTTGAAAGAATTATCTAATCCCTATGCTAGATTTATGTTATGTTGATTGGGGGAAGGGGGAGGAAATGCATGATATTTAGACTAATGGCATGTCAGTTAAGGGCTGGGCTATCTGAAGGAGAAGTGTGAAAGTTTAACATAGCCTTAGCACTTATGATGTGTTAGGCTATAAAACCCAAAGTTAATAACACTGCCTTCTGCTGTTGGTTCTATTCAGCTGTCATCTTACCCTTCTGTGACTGGAAAGGGGTCTGGATGCAGACCCTAAGGGAGGGTTCTTGGATCTTGCATAATAAATAATTCAGGGTGAGTCCATAGAGTAAAGTGAAAGCAAGTTTATTAGAAAAGTAAAGGAATGAAAGAATGGCTACTCCATAGACAGAGACTCTGGTTGCCCATTTTTATGTTTATTTCTTGATTATATGATAAACAAGGGGTGGATTATTCATTCCTCCCCTTTTTAGATCATATAGGGTGACTTCCTGACATTGCCATGACATTTGTAAACTGTCATGGTGCTGGTGGGAGTGTATTAGTGAGGATGTCCAGAGCTAACTCTCATTGCCACCTTGGTTCTGGTGGGTTTTAGCCAGCTTCTTTACTACAACCTGTTTTATCAGCAAGGTCTTTATGGCCTGTATCTTGTGCCATCATCCTGCAACTTAGAATGTCTTAACCATCTGGGAATGTAGACCAGTAGGTTTTTAGCCTTATTTTACCCAGCACCTATTGAAGATGGAGTTGCTCTGGTTCAAACACCTGTGACACTTCCAGTCTTGCCTACTTCAAACTGTTCCCCATGCTGCTAACACATAGCTACTGAGCAGATCTCTCTTAATACAAATATATTATTTACTCCCCTATTAGAAATTTTGTTATAGGCTCTCTGTAGCCTACAAGAAAAAGATAAAACATCCAAACCACCCCTGATCCATCTAGGCCCCCAACCTCACTCAGCTCACCAGCTACCTCATAGTTCACGCTGTATTAATGAGACAGATACCTCTAGGACTACTTCATACCTCCACACTCTTGCTCCCTGTTCCTACTTCCCAGAATACCCTCTTCCCAGAAAACCTTTCCCATACCCCAGTTGATTCTAAGTACCCTTGTGACGAAAACCAGAATATTTTACCCCAAAATATACTTCTTTGGCCTGTTTTAATATGGCTATTCAGAGGGGCTGCAAAACATAAACATAGCCCTGAAAAGCTGCCTGGTTTGTGGGACATTTGCATCTGTAGAGGAAATCTATGTTAGTGAAATGAAGTAAACAACAGATGAAAACAGGCTTTCTCTGAGGTCCCCCTTGGATCTAGGAAAGGTTAACTCACAGAAAAAAGAGACTCAAAGTCTCATACTTCTAAAGGTCTGACAGAGAAGCCTTACAAAAGCTACCATCTATTCTTTTTGAGGGCAGCTCTGAGATTACCTGAAATATTTTCGTGTGTGTAACAAGACAGCCTTTGCTTGACATACTTTCTTCTCTTTACTCTCTCATAACCTGTGATACCACATTTCCCTGTCCCCAGGACCTCCAAGCTGCATTCTTTCTGTAACCTGAGGGTGTAATGAAAACTTCAGTTATTTGACCCCTCCCTTGAGCCTCATACCTTGTAGTATGGCTCCCATGTCCATAAGCCCGTTAATAAATTTGTAAACCTTTCCTTTCCACTAATCTGTCTTTTGTTACAGAGGTATCCCAGCTAAGAACTTATGAGAATTGAGAAAAGAAATTGCATATTTTTTTTCTCCCCTTCCATTGCCCTAGGCTTCCATAGACTTCTTACTCATTGGCAACAACAGCATGTTTGATAGTCCAGGCCTCAGACTGGGTTTGATTCTATAGTCTGTCCTTTACTTTCTGGATAACCTTAACTTCTTCAACCTCCCATTCCTTATCAGTAAAATAAGGTATTTATAATAATAGTACTTGTCTCATAGAGGATTCAGTGAGTTAATACTTGTAAATTGCTTTGACATTGTGCCTTGCACATTGTAAACGTAATAAATGTTTCAATTACAATGATGCCATTTTCTATTATCAGTAATTATGATTGCTACAGCGTCTTTTGCATTATGATTTCAACATTATCTTTTCCATGAGTTTGTTTTCCTACTAGATTATCTCCTCCTATAAGGCAGTATTCATTCCATACTTACGTCTGAATCCTCAGAGCTATGCATTGAGCCTCATTCATGATAGGAAGTCAATAGATGTTACATGCTTACGAGATTGCCAGCTTATTGTCTAAATTAATATTAAAACATCACACTCTGGACTTTGTAGAATGGCTAAGAAAAGTGTTTTTTCATAGGCTAGAGGTTCAGATTATACGTTTGTTACAAAACTGGCAAGTTTGTTTGCCCGCTCTGCAGAAACATATCAATATACTGAGACAGTGGAGATTGCAGCAAAGAAAGAGTTTAATAATAGCAAGACCAAAAAGCAAGGAGATGGGAGGAATCCTCAAGCCTCAAATCTGTCTCCTCAAGGGATGCTGCTCAAGGATCTTTAAGAGGATTGTGGAAGGTGAGGGGCTGGAAAGTTGAGGTTGTTGATTGGTCGAGGAAAGGGGGATAAAATCATCAGAATGTGGATATTGCATTCTTCGTGAGTCAGTTCCTTGCTGGGCCCTTCAGACAAGCAACTTTTATTAATATGCAAAATCTAAAGGGAAAATTTAAAGTTTATTATTTTATTTGTTTTAGATTTTACCTGTAAAACAAACAAACAAACAAACAAAAAAACACAATATCCTGTGACAAGGGGTACATAATAAACAGCAACTACCTATAAGAAAGTGCGCCAAAGAGCAAGCTGGCTTAATAATTACTGCTGATTTTACTGTAAGCCCAGCTAGATTTTTTGTTTTTCTTAATTGATTTTATATAGTTTTCTTGGGGGTGTTCTGTGTTCATGTACATTTCTAGTACTTTCAGTGTAGTCTCTGTTGAGTGCTCCTGGGATTTGTTTCTGACAGCCATTTTCTGTTTTCTCCATAGGTACTAGGCTCTTGGAGCCTTACATTCTTCACATTTAGAAGGTACTTAAATATTTAATTCCTGTTTTTGAATTTATAATTAAATAGTAAAACTATTTTATTGTATGTAGATATTGATGATGTTATTTATGTATTTGGTTTATGTTTTTGTTTGTTTATTTATTTATTTATTTATTTACTTTGAGGCAGAGTCTCACTCTGGTAACCCAGGCTGAGTGCAGAGGTACAATCATGGATCACTGCAGCCTTAACCTTCTAGGTTAAATCAATCCTCCCACCTCAGCATCCCAAGTAGCTGGGACTACAGGTGTGCGCCACGACATCTGGGTAAGTTTTAATTTCTTGTAAAGACAGAGTCTTGCCATGTTGCCCAGACTGGTCTCAAACTCCTGGACTCAAGTGATCTCCCTGCCTTGGCCTTCTAAAATGTTGGGATTATAGGTGTAAGCCAGAACACCCAGCCTATGCCTTTGTTGAAACTCTGAAAGCAGAATGGCAGAAAGTAGCTTTAAGTGAATCAAAAGAAATGATTTTTTCTTATTTTTTTTTTTAAGATCTCAAAGTTTGTAATTTTTTTCTTAACCAAATGCAATATTGTTAAATAGATGGTGTTTCTGAATATAACTTTTAGTAAGTTATCTTTAATATTTCTGTTTCCTTAGCAAGATGAGAGGTCTTCAATGACAAATAATTTTCTTTTAATCTTGGTAGGACTTGTCAGTTCTGCTGGCATAAACATAGGGTTTTAAATTGAAAACCAGGATTGTTTACTAGATATAGATAGAGATTTACTATAAAATTCTATTATCCAAGACTTCTAAAAGATTGACATATCTTTGGTTATTATTAATACTCCCATGTCTGCTCTTATAGTTTTCTTTTTTTATTGCTTAATGCTTCACTTTTCTTACTTTTCTCTGGAAAAGCATTCAGTATGTAGTATTAGAATGCATAACCTTGTGAGCATATTTATAGCATCTCATTTTTTAATACTGTGATGAATGATTAATCATAAAGGGTTCATCTTTTTTATCCTATGCAATATCTAATGTATCCATGATTTAATACTTTGAAGGTTTTTGGAGGGATGTTTATTTGAAAGTGGAAATGTTTATTTTTTTAAATCCTTATTCTAAGATTTAAAAAATCCTTTTGCTCATGCATACGAGCCCTCTCTTCTGTTTAAGACTCAAGAGGACTTCGAAAAGAAACGTAAGTGTTGAGGAGTTTTCCTCTACTCATCTTGGGTTCATTGACTAGGATTCTGAAAAGTAGACAGACAAAAGTCAAATTAACAAGAGAAAAACAACAACAAAAAAAGCTAATAAGAAGCTTATTAGCGGGCATTATGCAACTGGGGGTACTCAGTGGATGAGTAACCCAAAGAAGGGGTTAGGACTTGGGGAATATGAAGCATCTTAACAAAAGAAAAATACATTTGTAGAGGAATTACAAAGGAAAGAAAAATGCTTCTGGTTTTTAGGGACAGCAGCTGTGAAAAGGCAAGTATATGGTAGAAACCAATGAAAGAAGGTTATTTTAGCAAGGTTTGCTGCATAGATTCCACTGATGCTTTCTCTAGTCTAACGAGTTTAGAACTGTCTCCAGTGATTAAGAATACTCTTGCTTTTTCTGATAGAGAGGGGAGGAAAAGCAGATTTTCTTTGTTTCTACTCCTCAATTGCTCTCAACTCAAAGTAATGCTGAGAGAATGTGTCCATACTGAATAGTTTCAATAAATGGCATGTATTTGTAAATACTCACACAGAAACACACACACACACACACGTTTCTTTCTGTTTGCATGTGCATACAGGTGTAAAACACACAAATCAACCCTAATACTTTGAAGTCAAGAGGAGGATCCACAAAGAATTCAAATAACTTATTGAAATTGCAGGAGAAGGTGAGAAATTTCTTCCCTCTCTACATTGTCTCCACATAATTATAGTTAATGCTGTGGCACTAAAACTCAGCAAGGGGTTAGAGCAAGAACTTTGGAATTAGGCTGCTGAGAGTTCCAGTCCTCTTTCTTGCCATTTCCTGAGTGTCATCTTGGGCAAATTATTTCAATTTTTGTATCAGTGTACTAACCATATTGATGCAGGATATTTTTGGTGCCGCTTCACCAGCTGGAGACCTCTGTGGCCTGTGATATCCCTGCCCAAGCCCTGCTCAGCCCTTGACTTGCTGCTGGAGGTATCCCGCCCACTTGGCTATGCAGGCTGTGTGTAGCTTGTGCCCTGGCCTGGATCTCATGCTCAGCCTGCAGCTGGGCTCAGTGTTTCCCAGCCCTCCTCTGTTACAGCTCATTCAGTCCCACTGCCCCACTGTGGCCTGTGGCTCCAGGGCTGGTCCAGTGCCATCACTGCTTCCTGTTACATGGGTCAGCTACCCCATGCCAGCAGAGGGCAGAGGGTCACAGTGTTACAGACTTTTTTGTACTCATGTTTGGTGGGTTCCAAGTTCTTGTCCTGCCTCCAAGAGGAATGAGGTTACACTGACAACCGAAGGGTGAGAAGGGTGGAGAAAAGTTTTACTGAGCAATGGAACAGCTCTCAGTGTAGAGGGGACTCGAAGCAGTAGTCCTCCACTTGAAGGTGGGTAGTCCTCCCTACCCAAAGTCAGGCAGTCCCTCTCTCATTGTGGCTGGGTCTGGGGCTTTTGTGAGTTCAGAATGGGTGAATGCATGGTGATTGGTTTGTGAGTATACCAAAAAAAACCTAAAAGGCACCACTCAAATGTGGGCATGATAATGTTAAAAAACCAATTAGGGAAGGGGAGGTGTATACAAAATAGGTGAAGTGTAGGGATCATTCAGAGGAAAGCATGCCAAATGGGAAGAGAGGTTCTCAATCCAGTCCATACAAGTCTTTATCTGAGACTTGTAGCTTGGCTACAGGCTTTAAACTGTCCTTGGTTTGAAGGTGTGGTTTCACTGGGGACCTGCCCCATCTGCCTAGGGATTTTTCTGTCTCCTGCTACTATCAATATTAGATAGTTGTAAGTAATGTTTCAGAAGTTGTTGGTATATGGAGTCCCTGAAATTAGAAGCAAGATTTAAGAGTTCTGGGGAAGATCTTATTTTAATCAACTCTATCTCACTTAAATGGATTAATTTTAAAAAGGCAGGAGAAAGGTTTATTGAATGCTCTAGAGAGAGTGACTTGCACTAATCCTTTGCTTCATTCAATACAATTCTCATCCTTTATTAAAAGCAGAATAGCCTCATGGTCTGCTTGTCCTCCAGATAGGAGTGGCTTGTATATGATTGATGTTTCTTGGGATCATGAATATAGGGCTTGCTCCCGCTCTAGGGCTAAACATTAGAAGACCAAATGGCTTGGCTTGTGTGGTCTTAGGTTTCTTCCAAATAGGAAGAGTGTGCTAACAGCTCTAGTCTCAATTCACGACCAGGCTCCTACATTTAGGCTCCTTGCTCCCTTGGTGTTATGAATCTGAAAGATAATGCATCTCCCTCAAAGTTATGTGAGAAGTGAAACCTTTTACTGAATAATTTTTTTTCTTAAAGAAGAAGAGATCTGTTATTGACTTGGCTGTTTTATCTTACTTATGCAGTCTAGACTTAGTAATATTCTTAACTGACACTTTTTTTTTGGTGGAGCAGTATGGATTTATCTTTAGTTTCCTCTAGTAGTATCAAAAGCTAACATCTAAATGTAAAGATATTAAATATGACTCAATTTCTTTTTTTTCCAAGGAAAGATGTCACAGTATTATTTTGGAAATTCTCTATATCGTTTGTGAGAAAGCCTATAGAAATGTTTACCACATAACAATTCAATCAATACTATTTCTGTGTTCCTCATGACAAGTGTTCTTAATTCATAGTGAATTTCTCTCAGTTTCAAGGTCTAAGGTAAAGACCATGTCCTTGGAGAAAAAAACATGCTATAGTCAAACTATCACTATTAAAACAATTTGTTAGACCAGCTGAAAATTTTTATTAATTCACCTTTATAAGTATATATTAAGTCATTGTATTTTTGTCTTAATAATACTTGAAGTAAAGATAGTTGATTTCCTACATAACCTATTTAAGAAACAGATGGGTTCTATTATTAGTGGATTGTAATAATAAGAAAAAAACCCACTCATCACTTTGAAAACTAAAAATCAATCCTGAATATTGAACTAAAAATTAATAAAATGTGATATTCATTAGAAAATATTTTTTTACTTTGAAACTACAAATAGTCTATGTAAATTTCTTCTTACACATATGGAATATTGAAAAAACAAGCAAAACTTATGACTATATTCAGGAGCTTTCACTTGTGATTAATAACAAAACAGTATTTTAATAAATAAAATATTTATGTATTAAGGTAAAATAGACTTGAATATATAGATAATCCAGCTTCACTGGCACTAGTGTTATATTTTAAAGTAATATTAAAGATAAAACATTTATGTTTAAGCCAAATGCCAGAAAGCATCATATAAATTATTTTTTATTATAAACATTTTGACATCACAAGCTTAGAGTAGAAATTCTTTTTCTATTCATCATTTCCATTCCTTTCCTAGGATGAACACTTTATATTTTTCATTACATTTGTGTAAGAAATTCTCAGACTATTCATTCATAGCAGGTATAACCTAACAAGAAAAACGTCATGAATCAAATGCATGATGACCTCAGGCTGCAGCTTGTCTTGTGTTACTGTCTTCTGAGGGAGAACAAATCCAAGCATCTTAACTAGATTTATAGACTTCTGTTGACTCACCACGGGGATGTTTTAGAAGGTCTCAGAGTATGGTGGTTTTGTGATAACCAGCTAAAGAAGTTATGGCCTGTCACAATTTGTGCTTTAAGTAAACTCCAATTTGTTGTGTGTATATCAAGAGCAATACTTTAATACTTGATAGCAGTATGAAACATTGTAGGTACACTCACCACTTCTCTAATCTCTAGATTGGAGCATCATCTCTTTTCTAGTTTCTAGAACCATTGAATGAACACATCAAGAATCTCTGGTGTTTAAAACTCAGATGTTGTGGTGCATGCAAAGAATTGGACACTTGAACCGCTTATGGTCTACTTGAGGAAATGTGCTAGGTTATTTTGGTAGCTAGAAACAGACCCAGGTTATCTTGAATTGTAAAACTGTGGTTATATTGCATATGAGAATGAGGACAAGAATGTTGTACAGAAATAAACCAGAGATCATAGACCCTAGAAAGTAGTTGAGGCTCCAAGAAAATCTAAGAAGCTTTAGCGTTCATCAGTAGGAGAGCTTCCATTTCCTGCACTGAGGAATATACTCTTCCTCATTTCTGCTTCTACTACAATCATTTGCTTCACTCTCTATTATAAAAACATCTTTTATCTATTTCAGTTTTGGCTTAATTTTAACATACACATAATCATATTTTTACTTGTGGCCCACTATGATACTGATATTTCATGACCTCTCTTTCTGTGCATATTTTCAGCTCCTCTTATCAGCTCTTTAAGTTCTTCTATAGCTCATGCTTAGATTACCAAGAGAGGGAGAATCTGAATTACCATATAATCCAAGAATTTGACTTCTGGGTATATATGCAAAAAAACTGAAATAGAAATGTTGAAGACATCTCCATGTTCATTTCTGCATTATTCACAATAGCCAAGATATGGAAGAAATGTTAGTATCCATCAATGGATGACTGAATAAAGATGTTGTCTTACATACACACAGTGGGATACTATGCAACCTTAAAAAAGAAGGAAAGACTGTCATTTGCAGGAACATAGATGGAGCTGTAGGACACTCTCCTTAGTAATATTCTTAGTAAAAT
The DNA here is from genome assembly GCF_000001405.40 of Homo sapiens. NCBI lineage: Eukaryota > Metazoa > Chordata > Mammalia > Primates > Hominidae > Homo > Homo sapiens. The sequence goes on from NC_000007.14 coordinate 118,328,475, forward strand.
AAACTATGCATAGAAGAAATACTGTATTTTGTCACTTACACGTGTGATACAGTCTTTCTGCTCCTTAGCTCAGCTAGGTCCAAGTTCTTTTCTCATGAACAGGAAGAATTAGGCACACGGACACTGGAGAGTGAGTGGAGTAGAATTTATTAAGTTAAAGGAAAACTCTCAGCAGAGCGGGGATACAGGGGGTGGTTCCCCTACCCGAAGGCAGGAAGGCTTTTCCTGTGTGGCTGGGGCCTCTTATGGACTTAGAATGGGGAGTGTGTGCTGACTGGATTGTGAGTATGGAAAAAAGATTGAAGCGAAGACACTACTCAAAGGTGGGCATGGCAGTGTAGAAAACCAATTAGGAAAGGGTAGGTGTACGTAAAATAGGTGAAGGATGGGGAACAATCAGAGGAAAGCATGCCAAACGGGAAGAAAACTTCTCAATCTGGTCTGAGGATTTAACTTGTAGCTGGGCTTTCAGGCTTTAAACTGTCTTCAGCTTGGAGGTAGGGTTTCACTACAGACCCACCCCTATCTGCATAGGCGTTTGGCTGCTTCCTGTCTCTCTCATGTGGGATCCAAAAAGTCACTCATAGAATCAGATAATAAAGTGGAGGAATGAATCAGGGAGGGGTGAGGATGGCGGGATGTAGATCAAAGAGTACAAACTTTCAGTTAGACTGGAGGAATACATTTTACTAATCGATTGCACTGCATGTTAACCGAAAGTTAATAAAAATGTATTGTATATTTCAAAATTGCTAAAAGAATAGATTTTTAACATTTTCACCATAAAAAAATTTGGTTAGGTGATGGATATGTCAGTATGACAGAATGTTTCTACAATGTACACATAGATCAAAACATCACATTGTACTCCATAAGCATAAACTAATTTTATAAAAAGACAAACAAGAAATCAAGGATTATAACTTACAGCTCTGAAAAAAAGCAGCCAAAAATTGAAGAAACTACTGAAAAAATGCTAAGCACAGTGGATAAAAAAATGCAAATCTGAAGCTATTTTTCTTAAATTTCAGAGTTCTAAGGATGAATAGAAGACTATTGATTTTCTAGAAGGCCAAATTAGGCCACTACCAAAGAAATACATACTGGAATGGGATCAGATTTGTCATTAGCAACACTAGATGCTGAAGACAACTGAGAAAGTCTTTCAGAGTTTAGAGGGAAAATAATTTTTAACTTAGAATTTTAAGCCTAGCAAAACTGCAATCAAATGTGAACAAAGAACACAATTATACTCAGACATCTAAGTATTTGGAATACTTACACACCATACAGTCCTCCCCTTCTTTCTTTAAGTTACTGAGTATGAACTCTGGCAAACACAATTATAAATCAAAAAGTACCACAATCAGTTTTCCACTTGGGGATATAGAGAGATGAAAAAAGTGTTCCTACTATCTTTTTAATCATCACCACCATCATCTTCCAATGGACAAACAGTAAGTTTATGACTTAGGAGTGCTGAGATTACAGAGAAACCAACTGCCTGACAATTTAAAGAGATACTCCTGACTTCAGGGATGGAAAATTCATGAGCATTGGTTTACTGGGAAAGATATAGCCAGATATAGGAAAGAAGAGTTTAACTAGAAAGAGTGGTACAATGCTGGGGGCTAATCAAGGCTGTACTAATGAGAGAGGACATTTCATCCTATTGCATGTTTTTTTTTCACTCCATGAATCCTGCTGGGACTCAAAGCAAAGATTTGGACAACTTCAAAAAGTCTCCCTTATGGTAAAAATCTGGGTGGGGAAGAGTAGATACTGTGTAGAAGGGGCACTAAACTCTATCAGAGCACTTTTCTTCGAACTCTGTAGGACAGGAGGCTTAATCTATGGGGACAGGGAAAATAAAACACTTTTGCTATTAAGACACTTGTGAAAACAGAATGCAGTTGAGGAAGAGAACTAGAAAAACCTGTCTCTGGTGAAGGGGCAGGGAAATACTTAAATTACCAACAGGGCAAACATATTGAGGTAAGGGACATTGCATCTGGATAAAACAAGTTTAATTTTAACAAAAAAGACTACCTTGAACTCCTTACCACCAGGCTAAGAAGTGTTAAGTAGCAATTAGTTTGCATGATACACTCTGAGGTGAGCAGAGTGATGACTAATAGCTGAGGGTGAGCCAGACATTGAAAAACAAAACCAAACAAATTAGACGCTGTTTTTTTAAAGATATTTCTAGAAAAATTTAAAGACTGTGTGCAATGACGGTAACCATTGGAGAAACAAACCTCAAACAGTCCATCTCCTAATTATATTACCTGAAGCTCCGGCATTAAAGGCATAGCAGAGGAAAAAATATGCCCAGTTTCAGGGATAAAAAGTTGGTTACCTCAGTCTCTATTGTCCTGCATAAGATACCTGACAAATTTGCAAAGCATATGAAAAAACAAGAAAAAAATTGCATCAGAAGAAGGAAAACCACTGTAAAAATTGAACTCAGATGTGATACAGATATTTGGATTATTTTAAAGAAAATTTAAAATAACTATAATTAATATGTTAAACACTGTAATGATGGTGTTATATCAATTATCAGGTGATTAATTTCAGTAGAGAAATGAAAACTAGAAGAAATAATAGAAATGCTAGAAATGAAAAACAGTAAGGAGATGAAGAATGTCTTTTAAAGGTTCATTAGGAAAATCAAGACAGACAAGGAAAGAATCAGTGAACTTGAAATTAGGCCTATAAAAAGTTATTCAAACACAAACATAAAATGTGGAAAGAAGCAAAAAAACTAAACCCAAAACTCCAAACAGCATTCCTGTAAGTTCGGACAGTATCAAATGACCTACTATATACATGATTAGAATTTGAGAAGGAAAATAGAGAAAGAGAACAAGAAAAAATGATATTTGAAGAACTACTGGCTGGGTTTTAAAAAAAGCCTATTAATGATAGGCATCAAATGATACATCAAAAAGATTAGATTGTAGACAGAGAAATCTTCAACAAAATATTATCAGATAGAATCCAGCAATATAAAAAAGAGATACAACCAAGGGCAGTTCATCCAATAGATGCAAGACTGGTTCTGTATTTTAAAATCAAAGCATATACATGATGAGGCACACACATATAGATATATATGTGACAAAACCCAAACTGAGGAACTTTTTACAAAATACCTGACAGTTAAGCTTTAAGTAAGTCAAAGTTATAAAATACAAGGAAGCCTTAGGAGCTATAATAGGTTAAAAGAGAACTATGGAAGCTGAAAGCAATGCTGGATTCTGGATACTGGAACAGAAAAAGAATGTTAGTGGGAAAACTGGTGAAATCTAAATAAAATCCACAATTTAGTAAATACTGTTCATAATGGTTAATTTAAAAAAATAACTGTATGGGTACAGGAATCTTTGCTTCTGATATTTTAATGCATCCATCACCTGAGTAGTTTTATGCAGTTGTGATGGTTAAACTGGGCTAAGGAATGTTCAGATAGCTGGTAAAAACATTTCTGGGTTGAGTCAGTGTACCAAGTAAAGATCCACCATCATCGATGTGGGCAGTCATCTCTCAAACCATTGAAGGTCCAAATAAAACACAAAGGCAGAGAGGAAGGGTGAATCCTCTCTCTTTTTGAGCTGGGATATCCATGTTCTCCTGCCCATGGACAGCTGAACTGGTCCTTACGCCTTTGAACCCTGGGACCTGCATCAGCAGATTTATCAGACCTACTGCCTCGGACTGAGAGTTACACCATTGCCTCCCCTGGTTCTCAGGATTTTGGATTTAGACTGAATTATGCCACTGGCATTTCTGGTTCTCCAGCTTGCAGGTGGCATTTTGTAAGACTTGTTAGCATCCATAATAACGTGAGCCAATTCCCATAAGTCCCCTCTTACATAACTCTACATATCCTATTGGTTCTGCTTCTCTGGAGAACCCTGAGTAATACAGTATTGTACCAATGTCAATTTTAAAATTTTTATCCTTGCATGGGATTATGTAAAATGCTAACATTAGAGGATTATAGGTGAAGGATATATGGGAACTCTGCACTATATTTGCAACTCTTTTCTAAGTCTAAAATATTTAAATATAAAAATCTAATTGCATGTAAAATTGCATGTCAATTATACCTTAAAAGAGCTGTCAAAATTTTTAAAACTTGAAAAGGACTATAAGCTTTCTGGGAAATAACTAGATGAGTTAATACAAGTACCAGGAAACTCAGACCCAATTAGGAGATCAGAAGATCTGGGTAGAGAGTTCTCCAGGGATAAAAGGAGATTTAATAGAATATAGAATGATTGAGAGCTTAGAAAAAAATTCAGAGATGATAAAGACATAAGACAAGGATAGTCCATTTAAACTTCATGCTAAAACTTTCTCTTTTGTGGAGCACAAGTGTCATAGTCTTGGACCTATATAGTAGGAAATATAATTTTAGCACTTTTCTTTGATAGGGAGAAAATTTATGTACTTATCAGTCTCCACCTGACTGACCCTTGCTGGCAACATCAGCTTATCAAATGAGAAGTCAAGGGGTTGTGGTTTTCAGAATAAGAAATGTAGGTTTACATATCTTGTTTGAATTTGCATACTCAATTAATCAGAGCAGTGACAAAACAATATTAGCAGAAGAAGTAGATGAAAGAGTATGGGGAAGATCATCCTTATTTATCATATTAGAAACTCAATAGCAGAAACTCAATAGCCTATATATGAAAGCCAACTACACAATAAAATTTAGATACAAAACTGTTTAGGAAAGAGAAGTTAACCACCTAAAGAACTAGAAAAGATAAAGAAAAGTTTGAAAAAATGATGAAGAATGTGAATTGGATAATTAAGGAAAGGGGAAGTTTGAGACAGTAACTTGTAGTTCTTTCTATGATCTTTTCATGACCTTTAACCAAATAATATTTCCATGTTATTATGTTTTTTGAAATGTTCTGTCAATATAATTATAACCTATTAGAGCCATTAAAACAGGTGTGTGTGTGTGTATTCTCTTTTCTTTCATATATATGTGTAGGTATACATACACATATATGTATAAATGTACATATATATACACACACATATATATGAAATGGAATAATATACATTCCATATTATAAATTATCAAATATAAAGCTAATTCACCAGTAATTATTTCTAGCAATAGATTCAGGGATTCAAGTGATAGCTGTATTCAAGTTAATTATTTAAGAAATGACTTTTTTCCCCTAGACTCAAAGCAACACATTGGTAGCATATTTTCTTATATTGAAAATCACCCATCTTCTATGTCTAGTGCTTAATTGAACACAACTAAGCAAGTTCATTTAATTGAAAGTCCCTTGAAAATCACTTGTTTTATTGAACCCTCATAAGTTTATAATTGAAAAATAATGCAGATGAGTGATTCTTTTAGAAGTAGATTCTAGTGAACAAATGTTGGGATCATTTGACATCGAGGCTGAGAGTGTGATTATTTTGGTATACTATGCACTCATATCAACAAAAAAGTTAATTTACATTATAGTATTGAATAATTGATTAAGAAAGAAGTTTACATAATTTTTATCCTAAATAGTTTCAGGTCAAATACTGTTCACATTTTCTTGATCACTCAGCAAATGATATTTTTAGGAAAGAAGTCAATGATGTTCAGAACTGAATTTGGATGCTACTTGACAGGATTTCACTATGGACAGAAGATCTTGACAAATATTTTAGTTAACAGTAAGAAAGAAGAATTTGGAACTAAAAACACCCCTCATCTAAGTTCTTAAATTAATATGGCTACCAATGATGGAACATTAATGGATCTGCATAATTTACTGGTTGTGAGCCAATCTCTGAAGCCCAGCTGCTGCTGTCTCTGATGTTTATTCAGAGAGACCAGAGAGACTCCTGCCCAGCTGTCTACAGGTTGGAAACTTTTTTGGCTCTCCCTCAGACTGTCCACTAGATTTCTGGTGGGATCACTGTATTTCCTTGCCCTGAAGATCACTGCTTGGGTGATGAACTTCAGCAACATCTCTCAATAAAGGTCTAGTAAATCTCCCTCTGGCTTCACTCATCATGGCTTTGGGTCAGAGACCTTTCCCTTCCACCAGATTTCCAACTGGAAAGAGGAATGGCAACCATGAGGATGGGCTGGGAGCATTTGTAGATGTATTTGACTCCTTTCCACCATCCACACGCTCTGGCCTCACTTTTTCCATTTCTTTTCTTTCCAAGAGGAGTGATAGCTGGAGCCAGACATGTTCAAATCCCAACTCCATTGCTTACTAGGTATGTGTCTATAGAGAAGTGTTTGTCCTTTGCAGTGGTTACTTTCTTTATCTGTAGAGTGTGAATAATAATTGTATTTCTTCATAAGGTTCTTGTCATGAGTAAATGAGATTTTACATGTAATGTGCTTGGTTAGTATGGTGTTTGGTGTATAGCTGGCATTTTGTGAATGCTAGTTACTATGATTTTACTTTTTCGTTTTTCCTTCCACTGCCCAAAATACTTAGTGGGATGTAATGTGAGAGAAATAGACATGCAGATCTAAGAGGAAATATTGACAATATAAGCCTGAACAATGTGTCCAAAATGAAGCTCTGGGATTAAATAGGTTGCCGGCCTATTCTAAAATTAAAATAACAAAATGCTATACTTCTGTGGCTTACCTCTATACTAAAATATATGTTTCTAGATGCGTACTTACAAAATATTCATTATGATGTGGATTATAATTTTTATAGTTATCTGGCAAAATCTGTGAAGAGAAGGTGATCATATTACCTTGTACTTGAAAATAAAAGCAGAGGATTCTCAATTCTGTTTTGCTTCCTGAGACAGCCAAAATTCTCTTTTATATTTCTTGAGGAAGTCTTTCTCAATAAAGTTCAATCACTTATCTGTCATTGATCCAGAATAAACTGCTAACTAGCATTCATATAGTTAAATTGTTTTCTGAAATCTGTGACGATTTTGTTGAGGCACTATTTGGTAGTGTTATTTTTTTCCCTCCAAGTCGTTTTTGTCAAAATGTGCTTCAATATTCTCTTTGATTGCAACTAAAATGCTCTCTCAGTTTTCCTAAGATGCTGTCAATGTAATTTTGTAGTAAATAACATTATAATGTCAATGTATGACCAAGAAGGTGATACAATGTCAAGGATACACTCGGCATGGCTATATCATCAATTCAATGGAAAATGCATATTTATTCAGACCTTAAGATGTCAGAATTGAATCTTGCCCAAGTGTTACATTACAGAGAAAAACAAAAAGAAATCAAGCCAGAGAAAACTTGATTAAAATTCTACTGAATAAAGGAAATTTCAGGTTATAGCACTCAAGGTGCCTTCAGATTATAAAATGCTATCATATCTCCCATGACAACTGTGGAGGACTCCTCCAACCCAAATTACAATGCTTGATGTTCTGGGACCTGAGGAATTTTATGGAAGTAATTAAAGGATTCTCCCGCCATGATTTACTGATAGTACTAGAGAACTTCTAATTTCATGAAGGAGGCGAGGTAGTTACAGATGCTCTAATTCCAGGTTCTACCCACTGTGATGACCTTCTTCTTCCAGCCTGCTCTTCTATTTTGGTACTGGAAGGATGGAATTGAGATCTTGGACCTAACATAGGCCTCTCTATGTGGAGAAAAGGAGTGCCTGTGTGCTCTTCTGGTATATATTTAGTTGATTTCTGGATTTCTTTTGTTATAAATTCATTCCTTTGGGTTAAGCTTTTAAAATGTCATTTCTACTGGGAAGAGTAAAACATCAAACTTTGATGAAGTTGATTGAAGTGCTCTTCAAACTATGGTCAATGGATGCCATACATCTGAATTCCCTGAGTTGTTGGTAGAAAAACAAGATTCTTTTCTGACTCTTTCTCAGATGCCCAGAGTCAGAATATCTGGAGATTAATAGCTATTTCCTGCCTATAAGAGTGTCCTGAGAAGGCCCAGCCACCAAAAGGCATACCTTTTCTCTGGGCTAAGAAATACCTAGCTATTAATCATCCTGGCTCCAAGTCTGGTACTCATTGTTTTTTCTCTGCTTGGTGTATACAGTACTGTCTCTCTATCTTGAGCAGTGTCTGCTACTCAGTATTTTTCAAAGATCCTTTGAAAGGGCATTAAGTAGATAAAGATCTTTGTTGCTTCTTTGCACCAGCTCATTTAATTTCTTGCCCAGGCAGACAGAGAAGAAGCATCCTTACAGCTTCCATATATTTTGTATTTCATTCTTATGAAAAAGGAAGGTAACTATATAATTTATTGTTTCAATTGGGTTACTCTCAAGAAAGAAAGGGAGTGCTACTAATTGTTATGCTGGGAAATTGGAGAAAATTAAGACTCTCTCAGACAAGCCTAGATATATGGTCATCTTAATTCTACTTACTTAAAACAGTAATAACAATCAAACTTTACCAATGTATTGTAAGTTACCAATCACAGCCTTTTATCAGTTTTTTTGATGGAATATTAATGTAATGCCTTTTTAGGAGGGCAATTATAATTTTTCTGGTGTTATCCATTTCCTTCATCTTCCCCCTACTCACAGCTCACTTCCTTAAGCCTATGGGGTTTTCTACGTGAGGTCCTTGGGCAGAAGCATCAACAGTATCTGGGAACTTGTTGGAAATGAACATTCTTGGCTCCATCCCTGATGTGCTAATTCAGAAATTTGGGAATATAACCCAGTAATTAGTGCCTCCAAGTGATTTTGATGCACACTAAAGTTTGTGAACTACTATCTAGGACTTCCAGAATTCTTTTCGTTCTGTCCAATTCTCCCCTCACCTTTAATTCTCTCTCTTTTTCCCTTTTGTATAATTGAACTTGTGATATTATTAGTTCTGTTTTTCTTTTATTTTCTTTTTAATTTTTGTGAATATAGAGTAGGTGTATGCATTTGTGGGGTACATGAGATGTTTTGATACAGGCATGCAATGTGAAATAATCACATTATGGAAAATGGGGGATCCATCCCCATAAGCATTTATCCCTCATGTTACAATCTAATTACACTCCTTTAGTTATTTTAAAATGCACAATTAAGTTATAATTGACTATAGTCACCCTGTTTTGCTATCAAATAGTAGGTCTTATTCATTCTTTCTATTTGTTTTTGTACTCATAAACCCACCTCCCTCAGAGTCCCTCACTACCTTTCCCAGCCTATGGTAACCATCCTTCTACTTTCTGTGTCCGTGAGCTCAGTTGTTCTAATTTTTAGATCCCACAAATAAGTGAGAATATGCAATGTTTGTCTTTCTGTGACTGGATTATTTCACTCCACATAATGATCTCCAGTTCCATCTATGTTTTTGCAAATGACAGGATCTCATTCTTTTTTATGGCTGAATAGTAAACCATTGTGTATATGTACCACATTTTCTTTATCCATTTATCTGATGATGGACACTTAGGTTGCTTCCAAATCTTGGCTATTGTGAACAGTGCTGCAACAAATATGGGAGTGCAGATATCTCTTCAATATACTGCTTTCCTTTCTTTTGGGTATTGATATGGTTTGGCTATGCCCCCACCCAAATCTCAACTTGAATTGTCTCTCCCAGAATTCCCACGTGTTGTGGGAGGGATCCAGGTGGAGGTAATTGAATCATGGGAGCAGCTCTTTCCCATGCTGTTCTCCTGATGGTGAATAAGTCTCCCAAGATCTGAGGGGTTTCCACTTTTGCTTCTTCCTCATTTTCTCTTGCCACTGCCATGTAAGAAGTGTCTTTCACCTCCCACCATGATTCTGAGGTCTCTCTAGCCATGTGGAAATGTAAATCCAATTAAACCTCTTTTTCTTCCCAGTCTTACATATGTCTTTGTCAGCAGCATGAAAATGGACTAGTACAGTAAATTGGTACCAGTAGAGTGGGGAGTTGCTGAAAAGATACCCGAAAATGTGGAAGTGACTTTGGAACTGGGTAGTAGGCAGCAGTTGGAACAGTTTGGAGGGCTCAGAAGAAGACTGAAAAATGCGGGAAGTTTGGAACTTCCTAGAGACTTGTTGAATGGCTTTGACAAAAATGCTGATAGTGATATTAACAATAAGGTCCAGCCTGAAGTGTTCTCAGATGGAGATGAGAAACTTTTTGGGAACTGGAGCAAAGATGACTCCTGTTATGTTTAGCAAAAAGACTGGTGGCATTTTGCTCCTGCCCTAGAGATTTGTGTAACTTTGAACTTAAGAGAGATGATTTAGTGTATCTGGTGGGAAAGGTTCCTAAACAGCCAAGCATTCAAGATGTGACTTGGGTGTGTTAAAAGCATTTAGTTTTCAAAGGGAAACAGAGCAAAAAAGTTTGGAAAATTTGCAGTCTGACAATGTGATAGAAAAGAAAAACCCATTTTTTGGGGAGAAGTTCAAACTGGCTGCATAAATTTGCATAAGTAGCAAGGAGCCTAATGTTAATCCCCAAGACCTTGGGGAAAATGGCTCCAGGCCATGTCAGAGACCTTCACAGCAGCCCCTCCCATCAGAAGTCCAGAGGCCCAGGAGGAAAAAGTGGTTTCATGGGCTGGGCTCAGGGTCCTTGTGCTGTGTGCAGCTTAGGAACCCTGTGTTCCAGCCACTCCAGCCATGGCTGAAAGGGGCCAATATACAGCTTGGGCTGTGGCTTCAGAAGGTGGAAGCCCCAAGCCTTCACAGCTTCCATGTGGTGTTGAGCCTGCAGGTGCACAGAAGTCAAGAATTGAGGTTTGGGAACCTCCTCCTAGATTTCAGAAGATGTATGGAAATGCCTGGATGCCCAGGCAGAAATTTGCCGAGGAGGCGGGGTCCTCATGGAGAACCTCTGCTAGGGCAGTGAGAAAGGGAAATGTGGGATTGGAGCCTTTACACAGAGTCCCTCCTGGGGCACTGCCTAGTGGAGCTGTGAGAAGAAGACCACCATCCTCCAGACCCCAGAATGGTAGATCCATCGACAGCTTGCACCATGCACCTGGAAAAGCCACAGACACTGAATGCCAGCCTGTGAAAGCAGCTGGGAGGGAGACTGTACCCTGCAAAGCCACAGGGGTGGAGCTGCCCAAGACCATAGGAACCCACCTTTTGCATCAGCATGACCTGGATATGAGACATGGAGTCGAAGTAGGTCATTTTGGAGCTTTAAAATTTGACTGCTGTGCTGGATTTTGGACTTGCATGGGTCCTGTAAGCCCTTGGTTTTAGCCAGCTTCTCCCATTTGGAATGCCTGTATTTACCCAATACCTGTACCTCCATTGTATATAGGAAGTAAATAGCTTGCTTTTGATTTTCCAGGCTCATAGGCAGAAGGGACTTGCCTTGTCTCAGATGTGACTTTGGACAGTGGATTTTTGGGTTAATGCTGAAATGAGTTGAGACTTTGGGGGACTGTTGGGAAGGCATGATTTGTTTTGAAATTTGAGGACATGAGATTTGGAGGGGACAGGGGTGGAATGATATGGTTTGGCTGTGTCCCCACCTGAATCTCAAGTTGAATTGTATCTCCCAGAATTCCCATGTGTTGTGGGAGGGATTCAGGGGGAGGTAATTGAATCATGGGGGCCAGTCATTCCCATGCTATTCTCATGATAGTGAATAAGTCTCACAAGATCTGATGGGTTTATCAGGGGTTTCTACTTTTGCTTTTTCCTCATTTTTTTCTTGCTGCATCATGTAAGAAGTGCCTTTCACCTCCTGCCATGTTTCTGAGGCCTCCCCAGCCATGTGAAACTGTAAGTCCAATTAAACCTCTTTTTCTTCCCAGTCTCAGGTATGTCTTTGTCAGCAGTGTGAAAACAGAATAATATAGGTATATACCCAGCAGTGGGATTGCTACATCAACTAGTAGCTCTAGTTTTAGTTTTTTGAGGAACCTTCGAATTGTTCTCTATAGTGGTCGTACTAATTTACATTCCCACCAACTGTGTATGAGGATTCCTTTACCTCCACTTTCTTAACAGTATTTGTTATTGTCTTTTGGATATAAGCCATTTTAACTGGGGTGAGATGATATCTCATTGTAGTTTTTATTTGCATTTCTCTGATGATCTATGATGGTGAGCACCTTTTCATATGCCTATTTGCCACTTATATGTCTTTTTTGAGAAATGTCTATTCAAATTTTTGCCAATTTTTTTTATCAGATTATTAGATTTTTTTTCCAATAGAGTTGTTTGAGCTCCTTATATATTCTGGTTATTAGTCCTTTGTCAGATGGGAAGTTTGCAAATATTTTCTCCCATTCTGTGGGTTTTCTCTTCACTTTGTTTATTATTTTCTTTGCTCCGAAGAAACTCTTTAACTTGATGTGATCCTATTTGTCTTTTGCTTTGGTTGCCTGTGCTTGTGGGGTATTGATCACGATGCTTTTGCCCAGACCAATGTCCTGGAGATTCTCCCCAATGTTTTCCTCTTGTAGTTTCATAGTTTGAGGTCTTAGATTTATGTCTTTGATCCATTTCGATTTGATTTTTGTATATGTTGAGATATAGTGTACTAGTTTCATTCTTCGCAAATGGATATTGATATGGTTTGACTGTGTCCCCACCTAAATCTCATCTTGAATTGTAGTTCCTATAATCCCCATGTGCTATGGGTGGGGCCTGGTGGGAGGTAATTTAGTCATGGGGGGGTTACCCTCATGCTGTTCTTGTGATAGTGAGTGAGTTCTCATGAGATCTGATGGTTTTATAAGGGGCTTTTTCCCCTTTTGCTCTGCACTTCTCCTTCCTGCCACCATGTGAAGAAGGATGTGTTTGCTTCCCTTTCTGCCATGGTTATACGTTTCCTGAGGCCTCCCTAGCCATGTGAAACTGTGAGTCAATTAAACCTCTTTTCTTTATAAATTAACCAGTCTTGAGTATGTCTTTATTAGCAGTGTGAGCATGGACTTATACAGGTATCCAGTTTTCCCAGCACCATTTATTGAAGAGTTAGTTACTTCCTAGACACAATGGGTAGTTGACATCCTTTTTGTATGTCTGCAAGTTGTTATGAGCTCAAATTTGATATTCACTAAAGATTTTTTCATCTTCAGGTAGAGCCATAAAATATCATATTCTGTCTTTGAGTTGCTCCAATGAATATCAGAGCTCTAGCTATTGTTAAGACAATTTCATCTAGTAACAAATTCAGACTAATTTTGTCTTAAATTTGGAAACATTCTTTTTGTGCCATGAATCCTTCCATATTTAAGGCCAAATTCTTATTTTACACCTTTCCCTTTACCATTAAAAGGAAAGGTATACATTTTTGAAATTAAGCCATTACCAAAAGGCTAAAATTCAAAAGACTCACAATTATTGACAAGGATGTGGAGAATTGGGAAGGCGCATTCAATGCCCATCAAGACTAAAATATATAGATCCATGCATGTTCCTTTTTTTTTTTTTAGAATTTTCTTTTTTTTCTTTTTTCTTTTTTCTTTATTATTATTATTATTATTATTATTATACTTTAAGTTTTAGGGTACATGTGCACAATGTGCAGGTTAGTTACATATGTATACACGTGCCATGCTGGTGCGCTGCACCCACTAACTCGTCATCTAGCATTAGGTATCTCTCCCAATGCTATCCCTCCCCCCTCCCCCCACCCCACAACAGTCCCCAGAGTGTGATGTTCCCCTTCCTGTGTCCATGTGTTCTTATTGTTCAATTCCCACCTATGAGTGAGAATATGCGGTGTTTGGTTTTTTTGTCCTTGCGATAGTTTACTGAGAATGATGATTTCCAATTTCATCCATGTCCCTACAAAGGACATGAACTCATCATTTTTTATGGCTGCATAGTATTCCATGGTGTATATGTGCCACATTTTCTTAATCCAGTCTATCATTGTTGGACATTTGGGTTGGTTCCAAGTCTTTGCTATTGTGAATAATGCCACAATAAACATACGTATGCATGTGTCTTTATAACAGCATGATTTATAGTCCTTTCGGTATATACCCAGTAATGGGATGACTGGGTCAAATGGTATTTCTAGTTCTAGATCCCTGAGGAATCGCCACCCTGACTTCCACAATGGTTGAACTAGTTTACAGTCCCACCAATAGTGTAAAAGTGTTCCTATTTCTCCACATCCTCTCCAGCACCTGTTGTTTCCTGACTTTTTAATGATCGCCATTCTAACTAGTGTGAGATGGTATCTCATTGTGATTTTGATTTGCATTTCTCTGATGGCCAGTGATGGTGAGCATTTTTTCATGTGTTTTTTGGCTGCATAAATGTCTTCTTTTGAGAAGTGTCTGTTCATATCCTTCACCCACTTTTTGATGGGGTTGTTTGTTTTTTTCTTGTAAATTTGTTTGAGTTCATTGTAGATTCTGGATATTAGCTGTTTGTCAGATGAGCAGGTTGCGAAAATTTTCTCCCATTTTGTAGGATGCCTGTCCACTCTGATGGTAGTTTCTTTTGCTGTGCAGAAGCTCTTTAGTTTAATTAGATCCCATTTGTCAATTTTGGCTTTTGTTGCCATTGCTTTTGGTGTTTTAGACATGAAGTCCTTGACCATGCCTATGTCCTGAATGGTAATGCCTAGGTTTTCTTCTAGGGTTTTTATGGTTTTAGGTCAAACGTTTAAGTCTTTAATCCATCTTGAATTAATTTTTGTATAAGGTGTAAGGAAGGGATCCAGTTTCAGCTTTCTACATATGGCTAGCCAGTTTTCCCAGCACCATTTATTAAATAGGGAATCCTTTCCCCATTGCTTGTTTTTCTCAGGTTTGTCAAAGATCAGATAGTTGTAGATATGCGGCGTTATTTCTGAGGGCTCTGTTCTGTTCCATTGATCTATATCTCTGTTTTGGTACCAGTACCATGCTGTTTTGGTTACTGTAGCCTTGTAGTATAGTTTGAAGTCAGGTAGTGTGATGCCTCCAGCTTTGTTCTTTTGGCTTAGGATTGCCTTGGCGATGCGGGCTCTTTTTTGGTTCCATATGAACTTTAAAGTAGTTTTTTCCAATTCTGTGAAGAAAGTCATTGGTAGCTTGATGGGGATGGCATTGAATCTGTAAATTACCTTGGGCAGTATGGCCATTTTCACGATATTGATTCTTCCTACCCATGAGCATGGAATGTTCTTCCATTTGTTTGTATCCTCTTTTATTTCCTTGAGCAGTGGTTTCTAGTTCTCCTTGAAGAGGTCCTTCACATTCCTTGTAAGTTGGATTCCTAGGTATTATATTCTCTTTGAAGCAGTTGTGAATGGGAGTTCACTCATGATTTGGCTCTCTGTTTGTCTGTTATTGGTGTATAAGAATGCTTGTGATTTTTGTACATTGATTTTGTATCCTGAGACTTTGCTGAAGTTGCTTATCAGCTTAAGGAGATTTTGGGCTGAGACAATGGGGTTTTCTAGATATACAATCATGTTGTCTGCAAACAGGAACAATTTGACTTCCTCTTTTCCTAATTGAATACCCTTTATTTCCTTCTCCTGCCTGATTGCCCTGGCCAGAACTTCTAACACTATGTTGAATAGGAGTGGTGAGAGAGGGCATCCCTGTCTTGTGCCAGTTTTCAAAGGGAATGTTTCCAGTTTTTACCCATTCAGTATGATATTGGTTGTGTGTTTGTCATAAATAGCTCTTATTATTTTGAAATATGTCCCATCAATACCTAATTTATTGAGAGTTTTACATATATACAACTTAAATAGTAATATGAATTGTTTCAATTGCAAAATATTTTCCAGCTGCCATGTACAAATGTTGCAAATACTGCTGTAATTTGTGACTATCTCTAGAAACACAATTGTTTCCTGACAATGAGATAACCCAAACAATTTTCCGAAACAAAATGAGAAGCAAGAAAATGGACACTTGGCACTATTAGAAAATATCGCATGCAAGAATTCATTTCATTCATGCTTTTTGTGAGGAAGGATTTGACGTTAACAAATTTGTCTGTCCTCTTTCCTAAATGTTTCAACACTCAAATCTTCTCAACAATTCTAATCACCTGTGTTAGCAATAGTACAATTCTTAAACTTTTATGGCATTTAAACTCAGTTGTCTTTTGTTTTGAAGATACACGGTCAAGTGATAAGGAGAGTAATTTTCCTCAGAGTTGAACAGTGTTTGCCATGAGAGCAGAGTTATTGGCTTTTCTGAATCAGCCTGAGTCCTGTCCTGGAACCTGAGTGACTAAGAATTACAGATAATAACTGTCCAATTTTCACTCTAGTAAAAGAAGAATTTATACCCAATAATTTAAATAGCAGCTAAAATCCAATTATAAAAAGTTTCATGGTAATATCCAGAAACTTTCTTTATATGTAAGTTTTATTGTACTGTAGATTATCTTGAGCTTGCTTAAGAGAAATGGTCTGCAATCTGGGGCTATCAGTATTTAGGAAACAAAACTAAAAACCTAGGTAAAGTACCAAAGAGCATACAGAATTGAAGTTGCCACATAGGTGTTGCTCAAAATGTTTTATATTTGTTTACATTTGAAACTGCAATTTTTGTATAGTAGCACTTCTAATTTTGGTCTATGTTGAGTTAGCTCACTGTTCTGCAATGTTGAGGCAAGCAGATAATGATCCCAGAGTTTGAAGAATATAAAAGACAAACACAAAAACAAATTATCTACAGCATCCATAAGTGCTGCATTCTTAGCCCTTTTAAAAGTACAATCCATGGGATCATTTTTCAAATGGATTAGAACTTTCAATAGGTAAAAATTACTAAATTGTTTGCAAAATTATTTTTTTCAACATTATGCTGATATTTATCTATAAGGAAATGTGCCAAAGATTAGAGATCAGAATGCAGTTGGTGAAAATGTTTCTCATCAAAATTATTTAAAGATCTTCTGGCATAAATATGGTCTGATATTCTTACTGGTGGGGCAGAGATCAGACTACACTTGTGAAAGCAATCCTTCCTGAGTGATGAAGAGCTGATAGAATTGGTCAGAGTTTCGTTACTCTGCTGGGAAAGTTTGTTTTGACAGTGTTGATGGACACCATGGATTGTAGGTTTCCTAAAGGATAAAATGAGCCTGGGCTTGATTTTTAGCAAGCAGATTGAAAAAACCCACTGTGCTGCAGTCTCCACTTTCAAATTTGATTAGCTGTGGGATAATTACTATTTCAAATTCTTACAGTATTAACAGTTATCAGTTTCTATTTTGAGAGGGTTTTTCTGTCAAAATAATACTTCAAACACCGGGAAATTTAGATAGAATGACTGTATCTACTTGGCTATTAAATACAAAAATAACCTTAATGTTATTTAAAATTGCCTCATCACAGTTTCCTGGTTGACAAAGTGTGTATTAAAATAATAGTGCCTTCCCTATAGGTTTGTATGTGAATCAGGCAAGTCAGAATTGTGCCATACACCTAGCACACACTCAATAAATAATATTGTTTATTAAATTATTCAATTGTAAATAGTTTTGGACTTTTCAAGCAATGCTGTGTAATTTTTTTCTTTGTATAATATCCTTTTAAAATTTTGGAGGGGGCGTTTATGAGTTTTTTGGCATACAAAAACTGATTCACAGAAAATAGTCTCAGATATGAAGGAAGGCAGGATGATTAGACTAGATGGGATGAGATATGATATCCTGATTAGTAGGAAACCAAAAAATGGTTAGTTCTGTTTGAAAATTCATTTGTATGGCTGATTGGCATGTAGACATAAAAAAATGGTCATGAACTGACTTGTTCACTTTTCAACTAATTTAAGGATTATAAAAACTTAATGACCACATGCTGTTAAAATTCCATTTAGAAATTAGCAATTGATTATGTGGCACATTGCAATTCTTAAGCTCTCTTCATTAGTAGAGAGTGTAATCTAATCACATTTGCAGAGCTAAAACTATGCCTTTGGATAGATAGATAGTCTGGAACCAGGAGACTTGGTCCTCCCTGATTGTCAGGGTAAAATACTTACCTCTATTCAGCGTCTCGTAAAGGCCTTTCTTCTGTGATCTCAGAAACTCAGCTAGGCCAAGGTGTTAATGGCTTAATTATGCTTACCAGGACTGTTTTCATTTGAAAGGAAAAAAGCCTATAAACACAACAGTGATTGAATAAATAGCAGCTTAGGAAGAATTTCAGTAACCTAGAGAATAATTTTTTTTGGAGTTTGGATTATTAAATAGATAACTGCTTATTCGTTCTTTCTCTTTCTGTATATATGTACATAAAATGTTTACATATAGATATACATAATATATATACACACATACACACATATATATCATGAATATGTTCTATGATGAAATGTGTATTTATATATATGCATATACCTTCCCAGCCCCCAGCCTCTACATATTTATAGTCTTTGATCATTCTGGGGATCCCACTGAATGTTTGAATGTCTTGGAGAATGACTGAAAACTCTCCATACTGGGAAGTTGGAGATATAATGTGTGGAAATTGTTGAGTTTAAGACTCCTCTGTTTTTCTTTGCCCCACTTTGGGAGTTTAACTGTGTGTATGCCCTGTCATTACTCAGCAAATAATGAGGAGGATGCCTATGCAGATGTCTGGAGCTCTTTTTCTGCATAGCTCTCTTCTCCCTGGAAGTCTGCTGTGTGTATGTCAGCCAACTCCACCTCCCCAAATCCTATGGTATCTGGCATTTACTATCATTTTTCTGGGTTATGTAACCTCTAGCATCACTTACTGTTGTGTAAGTGATGTTTTTCTAAAAATTAAACTCTGCAAGGAAAACAAATATGCAGTTATTTTCCTCAGATAAATACTTTGTAAACTATACAATTGAGTACAGTCTCAGAATTTATACCAACTTTGTGGAAGAGAAAATTAGTAAAGTTTAATTATAATAATTTATTTTTATTAAAAAAAGAGTTGATGTATGTCCCAACAGAACCACATCACGCACATTTTTTTACTCCAAATTATATATAGTAGTAATTGTAAAGATTAAAGTTATAAAAATGGATTCTGTAAGTCATATTAAAATATCCATAGCCATAAAGTAATATTTCTTATATATATTATAGTTACACATCTCTCTCCTTTTATATGTCTCATGAAGTTGGCTAAATATATATTTTTTTCTAAATCTTTTAAATTAAGCCCACCCAAATTAAGTACTCAGTGGAGTATTAGAAGTTTTTCTTTCTTTTTTAAAATTCAAACACAGAGTTTAAATTGTTTTCAGTGTGATGTTGGTGTTTCTGATGGAGGAGAGTCATTTAGCATTAGAAAATTTGAAGGGTGCCAAGTTTCACTTCGCAATTTTATTTAGGGTAGGACTTAATATACATTTCAGCTCAATGCATAAAAACATGGGTTTGTTGTTGTTGTTGTTTTTCACTTCAACAACTACCTGAGGTGTTTGCCCAAGAAGAGGAAAAGCTTTGATGGGACAGGAGAAAAGCAAAGGATGGCTTTTGATTAAACTATTTTGCATTAAGTAGTAAATGATAGTTTGAGGCAATGACAAATTTGCATATGAAATTATTTATCTTAGTAATTCAGATAATAAATGCATCTGTCTCTGTCTGTCTCTCTAATCTTTTTTTGATATCATATCTAGAGCACATCTTTAATCAATTTTAATTACCCATTTTCCTTCTGAATTTAATATATATGGAGATGAAAATTCTAAATGTTTTTAAACTGTTCACCTTTCTGGCAACAAAATGTGTAAAACAAAGAGCTGATTTAAACAGTAGAAACATACCTACATTATGAATTATTACCATTATTAACATCTTTATATCAATGATTGAGCTCTTACTACCTATCACTGTCATAGTAAAGTTATAGTGGGATGTTCATCCTTAAGAGATTTTAAAGCCCTCTTGGAAACTGATTATTTCGTTCCATTCACAAATGTTGAATGCATTCTAAAAGGAGTTGAAAATTCCTATTAATCAATCTTTAACAATAAAAAAGTTCTGGTACATTGGATATATTATTTGGCTTGTCCAATGTAAAGATTGCATCTATAAATATTGCTAGCTATCTGGATTACTCATGCCCAACTGCACTTTTAATTAGTGTATTGACTTTTTAAATTTTTTTAAAGTGTTTTACATTCATGAAATTACATTCTATGCTCATTCAGAATGAAAATGTTCTTGTCATTTTCTCTCTGTCACTTGATGACCAGCATTTAAAACAGGCAAAGTATACCCAAATTTCAGTGATAATTTATATCAAAGAAGAATACTGTTTTTACTTTTATTTCTATCTCAGAATAAAATTTGTTAGAAACAATCATTTGAAGATGGGGGTTCAAGACACTTTCTAAAAGTTAAATGTGTGTTTATATTAACACGGTTTATTGGATTTTAATATTCTGTTGATCCAATAACTTGCTTTGAGCTCCTTTTTTTTTCTTATTGGAAAAACAAATTTTCTCCTTAGCATTCACATGTATATTAAAGAGTAAATTTTAAACTCATATAAAGATAGTAAATATCATAGAAGGTACAATTGCAAATAGCCTATGTCACTTAATAGAGTAAGGGGCTGAACTCTGCAAAGCCAGTGTCTTTATATTAAAATATGATTTATTAATTTAGAACATGTTTACTGATTATCTTCACAGTGTATAAGATATACTATGGTGTATAGGACAATTATGTAAAAGATATAAGGTGTACATACACATAACTATTAAATAAGATTGGGTTTTCCAAAAACAGATTCAGAGGGCAAGCCATCAGAGTAAGGGGCATGACAGTTCCTTTCTTGGTTTGCAGTGAAGGTAAAATTTGATCTTGACTTGAGCAGAATCTAGATGTGGCGATGATAGGAGGCATTACCAGCAAAGGAGACAATTATATCAAAGGTATGGAGCCTGCTATTTATGAGATATTTACTGGATGTGAGATTTTGATTAGAAGCCAAGCTGAATATAATGAAATAGCAGAAAGAAAGGCTAAAAGACAAGTGGGACAGATAAAAAAAGGATTTGAATAGCAGATTTAAAAGTTTGGTTTTTACCCACTAGGTGATGAAGAACGACTTTAATAATACTAATGAATGCTATTGCTTAACATCTACTGAATTATTACTCTATGTCACATCCTATTCTAAGTACCTCACATGTATTAGCTCATTTCTTTTTTTATTATAGTAAATGAATTTATTGTGTAGATATAAGGCATACAATATGGTATTATGGGATATATGTGGATAGTAAAAAGTTAGTGTAGTATAGCAAATCAACATACCCATCATCTCACATACTTACTCATCTTTTGTGTTTTTTTGTGGCAAGAGCAGCTAAATTTTCATTTAGTATGAATCTCATGTACAGTGAAATTATATTATCTATAGTCCTCATGTTGTACATTAGATCTCTAGACTTGTTTCTCCTACATATCTGCTACTTTGTATCCACTGAACTGTATCTCTCCATTTCCTGTTCCACCCCGGTAACCACTGCTTTATTATCTATCTCTGTATACTTGAATGCTTTTGTCTTTTTTTAGATTCTACATATAAGAGAGATCATGCAATATGTTTCTTTCTGTGTCTGGCTTATTTTATTTAGCATATCTTTCAGGCTTATTCATGTTGTGGCAATTGACAAGTCTAATTCTCAATTATTTTTTGAGGCTGAATAATACTTTATTGTATACATGCACTGCAGTTTCTTTATCAGTTCATCTGTTGACAGACACTTAAGTTGTTTCCATATTGTATTAGTCAATTTTCGTGCTGCTGATAAAGACACACCCAAGACTGGGAAGAAAAAGAGGTTAAATGAACTTGTAGTTCCACATGGCTGGGGGGCCTCACACTTATGGTGGAAGGCAAGGAGGAGCCAGTTAACGTCTTACATGGATGGTGGTAGGCAAAGAGAGATCTCGTGTAGGGAAACTCCCGTTTTTAAAACCATCAGATCTTGTGAGACTTATTCACTATCACAAGAACAGCATGGGAAAGACCCACACCCATGATTCAATTACCTCCCACCAGGTCCCTCCCACAACACATAGGATTCAAGTTGAGATTTTGGTGGGGACACAGCCAAATCATATCACATATCTTGGCTATTTTGAATAATTCTGCAGTGAAAATGGGAGTGCAGGTATCCTTGTGAGTCAGAAATTTCATTTCCTTTGAGTATGCACTCAGAAGAGGGATTGCTGAGTCATGTGGTAGTTCCATCTTCAATTTCTTTATGAACCTATGTACTATTTTCTGTAATGGCTGTACCAATCTACATTCTCACAAACAGTGTACCAAGTTTCTTTTTCTACACAATTAGCTCTGTGAGTTGATTCTATAATTATCCTTAGTGCATAGATAAGGAAACAGAGATCCTGAATAGTTTAGAATCTTGTCCTATGTCAAACAACTACTAAATGGTTGAACTCAGTCTTTCTCTGGAGCAACACTGTCCAGTAGAACTTTCTGTGATGATGGAAATGTTCTGTATCTGTGTTGTCTGTTATGGCAGCCACTAGCCCCATGTGGCTGCTGAGCACTTGAAATGTCACTAGTGACTATTGATTATTTACATTTAAATAGCCACACCTTGCTTAGTAGTTGGCTTACTGAACAGCAAATTTCTGGAGTATACTCTCTTTGCCATTATATTTTTGAACAGAGAAGAGAAGTTCTTACAATGATGCTATATAGCAGCACTTTCCAAAGCATCTTCTATGGAACATTGTTACAAGAGATGATTTCACTTTAAAAAGTTTAAAATCCAAGTAAGAGAGGGAAAAACTGCATGGTATTTTCTCTTATTGAAAGCTCACTTTCACATTAGTATATTTTAGCCTCTTCCGTAAATATATAAATTTTAACTTTAAAAAAGTCTAGTTTTTCCATAACTTATTTGGCCAGAGACTTTTATTCACCTAACACAGTGAACTAGTATTTTGCTTAAGATACTTTGAGGCAACGCTGCTCTAGGATGATCAAAATGGCAGTAGGAATTAGAAGGCGATGCAGTGAGGAGACACCAAAGTCTTCATAGCCATGTGGCTGATTACTGACTGTGGCTAGGTGAAAATTAATCAATATTTTAACTGGGCATATGACAGCAAGAATGGAAAGTGGGGTGTGTGTGTGTGTGTGTGTGTGTGTCTGTGTGTCTGTGTGTCTGTGTGTCTGCTATGTCTTTGTATGTATGGTGTCTGAAGTGGGGGACATGTTTATGAAGTTTAATAGAATTTCAAGTTTTATTAGCTGAAAGGATGGCTTGATGTTATAATCAGGTTGAAGTGTTTGTAGAACAAGTACACTTAGCAGATATACTAGGTATATATACAGGCATATCTAGTAGGAAGTTTGAAAAATGTGGTTTGGGTCTAGAGCATAGAAGAGGGCATGTGGCTGTAGGTGGAGATTTTGGAGTCATCTACATAGAGGAGCTGTTTAAAATGTCGAGGATGAACAAAATTTCTAAGAGGAAGTGAGCAGACAGAAAAGAAGATGACCAAACATAGAACTTTATATTAAGAGCTTATTTGTAAATTAATGTAGCTTATGAATTGTATGTATGTTTTTGTATATGTACATTCTATTTAAAATATTCTGATGTAAGAAATAATATAGTTCAAACAAAACTTCCAGACCTAACTGTATATTAATTTTATTATTTATTAGAAAATTTTCATGTCCAAATATCTCTTTTATTAAGAAGTCAATAAATATACACTGAACACTTACTATATATCAGATATTGTTTTAGGTGTTGTGGGTACATCTTTGAACAAAAAGAAAAACCTTTTTACATTCATGAACAGTGATTACATTCACTGAAGATTTTCTAGTCCTTTGACTTATTCAATTTTAGCAATTCCTAATTAGTAATTTAGGCAACAATATTTTATCGAGTATACGTTTGTTATCATTTTATGAAATGTATGTATATTATTAGTAATTTAAAGGGAAAGCAGTGAAAAGCATCCAAAACTTTAAATGGAAAAATGATAAAATGCACTTCTGCATAACATCTCTATTGAATTAAAAATATGAAGAAATAGGCAAATTTGAGTATGTGGGACTGTGGAGCTTACAGCAATAATCTTTTTGATAAAAATCAGGCATAATAAATAAATAAATAAAACCATTAAAGATCTTCCACTGGAAAACATTTCCTTAAACAAGAACAGAAAATGCGGGTCTGGGAATGTCAGACCCTCAGCTCATGATTCTAATAGTTTTCCCTCCCATTCTACTTAATTACTTTTATAAATTACATAAGAGAGGTTTTCATGAAGCATGAATCCTTACTCATTTAATTAGGAAGTTAATATAACATGATATAATTTATATATGGCCCTATAAGTTCAGTATATATTCTTATTTACTAAATATAAACTATATTTATAACATATAAATATGTAAATACATGTTATATAATTATAATTAGTATTTATATAAATATATGTTACATAAATATATTAAAACTACAACATTTCATGATATAAGTTGAGGCAAAGTACTAAAAAGTAAAAAGAAAAAATAATAGCTTGGTATAGAAATATTTAATCTTCATAATTACTGTTTAAGAAACATTACCATTAAAGGAAAAATCTGTATGCTTCTCGCCCCTCTCTTTATCATTTTAGTAAATATGAACTACCTATTAAGTTAAGGGACTTCCTCGAAATTTACACATCTTCAGGATCATTATACTAGCCAGGAGATGGCACTAATGCACTTTGTTCTATCTTCCAGAAAGTAACTCTATAAGCCAAAGGTTACCTTAGCAATGCATTATGTAATATTGTGTAAATTAAGCATTTTGTTTCATTCCACTTTCTACCCTTCAGTTATTTATGCTGCATGTTAAGATTAGTGTCTATATTAAAAGCTCAATTTGTTTTAAGTCAGGAGCATAATATATGCTTTAACCAAATGAGCTGTTTCATTTTGCAATTTAATAAATGGTCTAGTCTAGAAAAGAAGTAAAGGAAAAATATTTATGTATGAAAAGTTCAGAGGTTACTAGGTTTGTAAATAATAATAAACTGCATGGATACCAATGGAGATCAAAAAACTCTATCTAATTTAGGTTGGGGATAATGATAATGTGAGAACTGCTGTGGCGTTTAATTTCCTTCATCACTTGTAATTCCCATAGTGTTAGTGGATCCCTTTTTTTTTCTTGTGAAGAAATTTGACTTTTCACATCTAGTAAGTATGAACTAAAAGTATCTGATACAAGCCTCAATCAATTTATGAAGCTTATTTTGCCGAGGTTAAGGATGCATCCATGACACAGCCTCAGGAGGGCCTGATGACATATGCCCAAGGTGGCTGGGATACAGGTTGCTTTTATACATTGTAGAGAGACATGAGACATCAATCAATATGTGTAAGATGTACATTGGTTCAGTCTGGAAAGGCGGGACAACTCGAAGTGGGGGCAAGTGTTGGGGGGTGCTTCAAGGTGATAGGTAGATAAAAGACAAATGGTTGCATTCTTTTCAGTCTTTGATCAGCCTTTCACTGAATACACGATTTATATGTGAGAAGGGGGTAAGGTAATAGTCTCTTATGGCTTAGTCTAGCTTAGTGAATCTGCATTTCTACATAAACAATAAGGCAGAAGAATCAATCAGGTATGCATTTGTCTCTGGTGAGCAGAAGAATGACTATGAGTTCTGTCCTTTGTCCTGCACTTGTGAAGATAAGCTATCAATTTACATTGCCAGTGTGAAATTCAGCAGAACTATTTTAGGGTAAAGATCTTGAGGCCCACAAGGAATTTCCTTGCTTTCCTGTCTTGCCACTAAACCTAATATATCAAAATAACCTGCTTTGGGCCATACTCTGAGCCTGCATTCTTTCTATAACTTTCTATAACTTCAAAATAGTATATAAGTTTCTGTACCTTACTGGTGGGTTGGGTCATCATCTTGAAGGCTCTCATGTATACATGTTAAATAAATTTGTGTGCCTTTCCTCCTACTAATCAATATGCCTCATGTCAGTGATTTTTCAGCAAAACTTTAGGGGGCAAGCCCCCATAGTTTGCTTTCTTATTATTGAGTTTTGATTTTTTTAATACATATGCTCTAGGTAGATATACTTTATGGGTTATATAATTTATAAATATTTTCCCATTCTGAGGTTTACCTTTTCATGTTCCTTAGAGTGTGTTTTAAAGAGCAGAAGTTTTTATTTTTGAAGTTTATATTATTAATTTTTTCTTTTATGTATTGTGCTTTTGGTGTAATGGCTAAGAAATCTTGGCCTAATCCAAAGAAAAAATAATTTGTTCTATGTTTTCATATAGAAATTGTAGAATTTTAGGTTTTATATTTGTATATTTGTCATTTAGGTATATATGACACATTTTGAGTTACTTTTTTATATGGTTTAAATTTTGGATCCCAGTTCATATGTTTTTGCATGGGTAACCAATTGTTTCTGCACCATTTGTTGGTAAAATTCTTCTTTCTTCACTGAATCCCCTTTGCACCTTTGTATAAATTTACTTGCTTATATATTTGGAAGCTATATCTGGACCCTTCTTCTGTTGATCTGTTTGTCTATCTTGATGTCGATGTTACACTGTGTTAATTACTGTATTTTTGTAATGTCTTGAAATGACATAGTATATTTTTCCAACTTTATCTTTTTCTAAGTTATTTTGTATATTCCAAATCATTGGCATTTCTATACCAATTTCAGAATCAGCTTCTTAATATCTACCAAGAAAAACCTGAACAAGACAAAAAACAAATCCTGCTGGATCTTTGATTGTGATTGCATTCTTACTGTGGGAGATGAGCCCGTGATTTTGAAGTTTTTCTTCTTTTCTCACTAAATATCTCACTAGATATTTAATGTTGTGCATTTTCTTTTAATTTCTACTTTAGTGACATCCCATAAATTGTTATATATTTTATTTTCATTTTCATTAAGATCAAAATACTTCTTAATTTTTCATTTAATTTCTTCTTTGACCCATGCGTTACTTAGAATTGTGTTTTTTGTTTTCAGATGTTTGGAGATTTTCATGATATATTCTTCTTATTTATTTCTAATTTAATTCCACTGTGTTCAGAAATTATACATTGTATGACTTAAATCCTTTTCAATTATTGTGACTTGTTTTATGGACAAGAATATGTTTCTGCATATACTTGTGAAGAATGTGTAGTCTGCTTCTGTTGGATAGAGTATTTTATAAACATAAATTAGATAAAATTGATCGTTAGAATTGTTCGTATTATTTATATTCTTACTGAGTTACCATTGTTCTATCAGTTATTGACATGGGTTATTGAAATCTCTGACTATACTGGATGATTTGTCTGTTTTTTCCTTGCAGCCTGTCAGTTTGTGCTGTATGTATTTTGAAGCTCTGTTATGAGATATATAAATGTCTAGAATTATTATGTCATTTTAATAACCTGCTTGTCATTAAGACATGAACCTCTTAATATTTTTGTTATAAAATTTACTTTCTCTAATATTAATATAGCCATTTAGCCAGTCCAGATTTGTAGTTATTGGTAGCAGAGTACATATTTTTTATACTCTTATTTTTAGCCATTTTTATATTTAAATTGGGTTTCTTATAAGCAACATATAGTTGGTATTTTTTTTGCTTTTTTTTTTGTCCAACATGACAATCTCTGCCTTTTAATTGGGGTATTTAGGCCAATTACATTTAATGTGATTATAGATAGGGTCAGTTCCATTAAAGGATATATCATGTTTAACGTACATATCCACAAAATAGATCTTTGGACTTTCTTCCTTTAATCTTTTTTTAAGCTGGATGTGGTTGGCATATTACTTAGTTGCATAATTATCCCTGCACCTCAGCTCATAAATTGGATGACCATATGACCTATCATCCAACCCAGCACTCTTTTGAGAAAGAAAGGTGTTTTCTTAATTATATTTTTGGGGTAATTGGTAAAAACGTTAGAAAATTCTGGTCAAACAAGGTAATACATTCACCTTTTTATAACTTTATACATATTTCCTTGTGTGCCTGCTTATACAGACCTTTTGAGTGAACATGAAGTTTGAGAGGGCAGGCCTAGTCATCATAGACTTATCATCTCATATTTACTGCTACTAGTGTCAATATTGAGGTTATATGGAACAACATAAAGAGCAAGATTATCAGACACCTGCAATTTCAGCAGTACATGTTTGTCAAGAGTCACTGAAGAATATAAAAAGACAAAGTACAAATTTACAAGAAAAAAACAAACAACCCCATCAAAAAGTGGGCAAAGGATATGAACAGACACTTCTCAAAAGAAGACATTTATGCAGCCAAAAGACACATGAAAAAATGCTCATCATCACTGACCATCAGAGAAATGCAAATCAAAACCACAATGAGATACCATCTCACACCAGTTAGAATGGCGATCATTAAAAAGTCAGGAAACAACAGGTGCTGGAGAGGATGTGGAGAAATAGGAACACTTACACTATTGGTGGGACTGTAAACTAGTTCAACCATTGTGGAAGTCAGGGTGGCTATTCCTCAGGGATCTAGAACTAGAAATACCATTTGACCCAGCCATCCCATTACTGGGTATATACCCAGATAAATCATGCTGCTATAAAGACACATGCACATGTATGTTTATAGCGGCACTATTCACAATAGCAAAGACTTGGAACCAACCCAAATGTCCAACAATGATAGACCGGATTAAGAAAATGTGGCACATATACACCATGGAATACTATGCAGCCATAAAAAATGATGAGTTCATGTCCTTTGTAGGGACATGGATGAGGCTGGAAACCATAATTCTCAGCAAACCATCGCAAGGACAAAAAACCAAACACCGCATGTTCTCACTCATAGGTGGGAATTGAACAATGAGAACACTTGGACACAGGAAGGGGAACATCACACACTGGGGCCTGTTGTGGGGTGGGGGGAGTGGGAGGGATAGCATTAGGAGATATACCTAATGTAAATGACGAGTTACTGGGTGCAGCACACCAACATGGCACATGTATACATATGTAACAAACCTGCACATTGTGCACATGCACCCTAAAACTTACAGTATAATTAAAAAAGAAAAAGTAATGGTTCGTTTATCCCATGTTAATAAGAAAAGTTATGGAATTTTGGAAAATCTTAAAGATATATTTTAATTAAAAAAGAAATCAAACCAATCTTTCTTGAGTTATTAAAATAAAATATCTAATTCAATAAATTTCATACTTTGTAAGCATTATTTTAACATTGTATACATATTTTTAATGTGATTATATGTATGAGCTTATAAAAGTATACATATAAATAAGTGAAAACAATAAATACGTTATCTTAAAACTTGCAAAATTCTCAATCATATATTTTATGATACATAGGTATCTAGAGACAACTGACTATAAATAAGATCAGTTTTTGTTTGTTCCCTTCAGTTTTATCTTACTCTCATTAAACTGACACACCATACAAACAAATTTAAGAATATTCCATTAAAAATTGGTTTAATATGACCATTTATCTGTTAAAATTTTTTACATAAAACATTTCCTGATTATAATATTTTTATAATCCTGTTTTAGAAATTTTCTAAAAGTCTTCTTTTCATTGGTATAAAACAGACCTCAAAGGAGATTAAATTTTCTCAGTGGCAATAACTACGTTATTTTTACATCCATTAAAAATATTTCTTTTCAAACCCTGAAACATTAAAATAATAATTTCTGATTATCTTTATTCTTTCTGTATATATCATTTTCACTGGTGATTAACAGTGACAAATTTCTATAAAAAGGACTTCATTGAAAGTAGTGCAAGTTGTGTGTGAATAGCAGCTGCCTGAGTACAAAGCTTAATCAGTACATATAGTTAGCGAAGACAGGTTTGTATTCATAAGCGCATAAACATTAATGACAAGGTGAAATAATTTTTGACAAGCAATTTTTTTTCATTGTGAAACCAAATTTTTAACTATTATTCAAGTCTTTTCAGGCATAACTTTGATATTTTTCAAGTTGGTTAAAATATCATTGAACTTATATGTTCTATTACATGTTTTTGAAACAAATTTTTGGTTCTGGAAACCATAACGTGAGACTGTTTTTTTACAAGGTATTTTATTCTCTGCTTAGAGACCACCCTCTTCTATCCTCACCCTTTGCCTAGCCAGTTTCTCATCCATCAAATACCAACTTAAACTTCAGTTCCAGGAATGCCCAAAGAAAGTCTTCCTCAATTCGTAGATTAGATCATATGCCCATTCTTATTGTAACAATGGTCTTTTATAGCAGTTATAACAACTGTGATTAAAACAGCTAATTATTTAATTATTATCTGCACTGGGGGCTATGATGTACATGCTCTGCTGGTAGGAATTATGTCTTGCCACTGAGTCCTAGCACCTAACATACCACCAAGTACAAAGTATGTTCTCAATGACTATTAGAATTGATTTTGATCATGTATGACTAAAAAGAGAAAGTTAATTGGATGTTTAGGTTTTGATGTTGTATAGGAAAGCATAATTAGACAAGAGGGTCTAAAATCCTCTAAGAGCATATAAAATTAGAGGTGTGAAAGCATTTAATAATGTTAAGAGTATAATTTAAATACTTAAGGTACTTATTTTCTTACAGCAGATTTATTTACAATTTAATTGATATTTAGGTGCTTTAGTGAGGTTAATCTGCTTTATTGGTTAGGACCTGAGCCATATGAGTTTGAAGTTGGACATTCTACCTCTTGTCCATTTCAATGGGGAGTGGGAGGAATTGTTTCTATGGACTTAGACTATAAATAACCCCAACTTGTTTTATACATTGTCCTGATATTGGCACCCGTCAAAAGAGTGAGTGTCTTTGAACAACTGCACATAGTGTTTAACTTCTCTGTGTCAAGGATAAGGAAAAACTTCCCCCTCACACTGTAAAGTTTTGCTGAAAACAAACACTGACAAGAGGCAGATTAATAGTAGAAAAGGTATATAAATTTATGTAATCATAGTTTCATGTGATATGGAAGCCTTTAGCATGGAGGACTGAAGATATCAGGAAAATTGTCCATTTTCTTCTTAGGTTCACCCAAGAACAGACAGCTATGTAGAAATATAATTGCACAAAAAGGCTATGATTTAATGCTGATAGACGGAATGGGGAAACCCAGCAAGGCCTATCTGTCTAGATTTTTCTTGGCCTCTCTGAGAATGCATTCCTTCTTACTGGGTATGGCCAGTTTTTACATAGAAAGGCAGAGGAACAGTTAAGAGTCATATTTTTAGGTTTTATGGCTGGCTTTGGGAAAAAGGGGTCCGATTTCTATGACCCAAGTTGGGGAAGAGGATTCTAGTTTCTATGGCTAGACTCAGGAGAGAATGGGACTGAGAGACAGAAGGGCAGGGGAAGGTCAGAACTACACTTTTGCTTCTGAGGCTGCTTTTGGGGCCTTCGCTTTGGTGCATTGTCTTCTGACAACTGACAATTCTAGTCAACCAACATTTATTGAGCACCTGAGGTTACTGAGAAGACAACTGCACTGAGGAGCACAATGTCTGGCAGGAAAGCCAATACTGAGTGTATTGAAACAATTATGACTATTTCATAGGTGAAGCTTATGATCTTTTTCATGCAAATTAGTTCACACATTCTGTCATGCTTAAAAATTGTAATTTCTGTCAATAGAGTTTATAAGATTCTCACTTAAGAAAACTTTAGCTGCAGATTTTGAGTTTATTCATGTCTCCAAGTTTATGATCATTTGAGGGTAACTTTTTTTTTTTCAAATGAAGCTGAATTTATATAGACAAATAACCTGTTTTGAAAACTTTCCTCACAAACCATAAAGTAATAAAGCAGATATGTGGGAAAAACTCATTAAATAATTTTTCATTGACTTTGATAGAAATATTTGAAATATAGCCAATTGCTTCAAGTCAGTATTTTGTAAATTAGTTACACATGGAAATTGATGATGAACCTATATTTTCTTGCAATCTAGCTACTCATTACTTGTAGACTAGTAGTACTTTATTTACTGTATCTCAGCTTTGCATTAGCATTAGTTTTATACTACAACTTGTACTGTGTTATAGGCATCATAAAGCCAATAATTTGTCAGATACTTTAAATGTAAATTGGTAGATATTAAGTTACAGAGACAAATTACTATACCAGTAACTTGATGAAATCTTTTCCACACAAAACTCAGAGGGAAAGTGAGGACATTTTATTGAGTCAAGCTCAAGAAAGAAAAACTTTGTGTATGTTGCCACAATTTGAATGTCATTCAATCAGGGAGCCAGGCCAAGCAAAGTCAAGGAGAAAAGAGGTCAAATCAATTGGACTTTCTTCCTATTTAACAGAAATATTTTGAAACCCTTAAGTAGTTTTTCTACTAACATGTTTTTGTCTAACTATTTGGAAAAACAGCCTCAAGCTGCCATTTCTGTCACAAGGTTGATTAGATCCAGAAACAAAGAAAGTCATATTACTAGGATGCATAAGATAATCAAACAAGTTATTTAAGTTAATTAACTATTATCTAATTTTGTAAAAATAAGTTCTGTGTAGAATCGATCCAAATTATTGCAAGAATATTGTAGCCAGTATGTTTTCAATTTCTCCATTTAATTCTAATATTGTCTCCAGACTTGTATGTTTGAAATTAGTATGTGATCATGTAAACATTGAGTGCTCTTTATTACCAGGGCAAAAGTCTTCAAACTTTAAAAAAAGTCACTAATATTTACTTGGTTATTGGAAATGTGTCTTTTAAAGACATTTATTCAGCTTTATCAATTATTTAATGTAGTTACAGGTAAATATTACTGGCTGCTAGGAGACAGGGCCTAGTATAATCCCTTTTCTATATTTTTTTATGCATGGAAATACTGGGATAACTTGTTCAAATGTATAACTAGACGGAAATGGAAGAAGTATTTTGTTTCTATTTTCTGAGCAATATCATTCAATTGTGGGCCACATAGAGTACTAAAGTCACATTCCAAAAATCACATGGCAATCTACTATCAAATATGTTGTTAATCTATCACATGACAGCTTGTTGTGCTAAACCCCTATCAACTCCAAAGGGGATGGCACCAGATTCAAGAGGCAGACCAAGATACCCAGAGCCAGCAAATGAGCCATGGAGATATATTGAGGGCTTACATACAGGGAAGGAAGAAAGCCCAGTGGCAGTGGGCTGGATAGGAGACTTGCTGGCCCAGTGGTGGCAAGACAGGCAGAACTGCAACTGCTTGTAAAAGGCATGCAGTTCATATGACATTTTCACTTAACACCCTCCCTGTAACAACCTTTACCTGGCAACCTTCATTTAACCCAAAACAAAGGGGCTGATCTCCTCTGTGGCCCAAGTTCTTTGGGAAGGGCCAGGGGCTCAGATGTTCCTCATTGATAAGGAATGAATCTCAGATTGACCACTCCCGGATTCCTTAGCAAAGAAGTTCTGGACACACATTCAGGCGAATCTTCCACATAGGGTCATTCTCAGGGTATGTGCAAGTCAAG
This sequence comes from Homo sapiens, assembly GCF_000001405.40. Classification (NCBI taxonomy): domain Eukaryota; kingdom Metazoa; phylum Chordata; class Mammalia; order Primates; family Hominidae; genus Homo; species Homo sapiens. Next base: position 118,361,853 of record NC_000007.14, read on the forward strand.
TTATTGCTGTCAGGTGCGTCTACCATACACCACTCAACTAGATTCTCTAAATCCAGGAAATGAAAAGCATATAATTTGTTAGCAGTTTTGTTATACAGCTATTAGAATTACTAGTCATTTTCTCAACATTGAAAGAATTATATCAATCGTCATCTTTGATTCAGGGAAAGATCTAGGTAGTTGTCTTTCTTTTTTAAAAAAGGAAGAGAGCAAGAAAACTAGCATGGGTTCTGTGATGGTTAATATTGAGTGTTAAATTGATTGGATTTAAAGATGCAAAGTATTGTTCCTGGGTGTGTCTGTGAGGGTGTTGCCAAAGGAGACTAACATTTGAGTTAGTGGACTGGGAAAGGTAGACCCACCCTCAATCTGTGTGGGCACAATCTAATCAGCTGCCAGTGCGGCCAGAATAAAAGCAAGCAAAAGAACATGGAAAGACTAGACTGGTTTAGTTTCCCATCTTTCTCCCGTGCTGGGTGCTTCCTGCCCTTGAACATTGGACTCCAAGTTCTTCAGCTTTGGGGCTTGGACTGGCTTCCTTTCTCCTCAGCTTGCAGACGGACTGCCGTGATACCTTACCTTGTGATCGTGTGAGTCAATAATCCTTAATAAACTCCCATTTACATATACATCTATCTTATTAGTTCTGACCCTCTAGAGAACCCTGACTAATACAGGTTCTTTCTCAGCTCAGTTTTAGAAAAGTGTAAATATGGCTTTGACTATATTGCCTGGGTGTCCTTTGAAAGTCTTTGTCTACTCCAGCCGATAAAATATCCAATGTCAAAACCAATAGTTCAGACTATAGGAGTAAGTTTAGGCTCCTTAACCTGGCATAGATTCTTTCTGGTTGTGGCAATTATCTACCTTCCCAGCTCTATCCTCCAGCACAGCCCACTCCAGATGCCAAGGGATGAGATCTCACTGACCTAGTTGCTAATTCCTAAACATGAAAAGCTATTTTCACTCTCTGTGCTCTTGAAAATATTGTTTCCCTCTTCAGTTAAAGAAACCACTTGTCCTTCTAGATTCTGGCAGTTCTACCTCCACAATAAAGCCCTCTCTGATTTTAGGAAGCAGAATTTCTCACATCTGTGTTGGTCATTCTGATCTAATGACACCATTCACATTGCATTGATATTGTTTGTTAACATTTTAATTAGACTTATAGAGATCTTGGAATGTCTATTTTTTAATACTTATTTGTATTTTTAATACTTATTTGTATTATCTAGATTGGAGGTATTCAATAAACATTGGATTAATACATATATTTGACTAAGGTAAACATTTTAAGAATATGCGTTAGCAATGTGATATATTCCAATTGCTATATAAATTGTATTTTATAAACTCTGACAATATTTCCCTTTGTAACTCAATTTCCTTTTTATTATTTTCCATAATTGCTCTGTATTATATGAATAAATTATGTTTAGTACATTCATGGACTATATATTTAAATACTATATATCATAGTATTTTACCTTGCCTGTCATACTCTTTCCTTGGTTCATTTGGGGTGTTATTGCTTATTTGAGTTTATAAAATACAGTAAAATTCAAATTCATAAATGGACATTGTTTCAAGAGTTCATTATTAAATCAGTTGTTTTGATTTTAGAATTTATAGTCCCAAAGAGATAAGGCTGTAAATGGTGATTAAATTGCAAGGTGGCCAAGCAGAGCCTATTTAACCTATCCTAACATGAAATATGGTATAATGGTATGATTTCAAATGTATTTAAAATAAAATAACACTAGAAGGAAGGACTATTAATTTTCCCTAATAAACTGCATTTTGATTTCTAACTGAATAATGTTAGAAATGCATTTTTAGGGCTTTTGAAACTCACTTGAGATGAAGAAAAGCTAAAGAAAAGAGGGAGGGAAATGTGTTTTACTTCTTGCTACTGAAAGCATGGCCCATGGAGCGGCAGCATCACCGTCTCCTGGGAGCTCATTCGGCACACTTTCACACTCAGCCCAGCCTACTGAGTCAGAATCTGCAGTTTAACTGGATACCTAGGTGACTCATGTTTACACTAAACTTTGAGATGCACTATGCACTGGAGATCAACGGTGGCTTTTTATCCTTTTTTTTTTTTTTTTTTTTTTTGAGACGGAGTGTCGCTCTGGCGCCCAGGCTGGAGTGCAGTGGCGTGATCTCGGCTCACTGCAAGCTCCGCCTCCCGGGTTCACGCCGTTCTCCTGCCTCAGCCTCCTGAGTAGCTGGGACTACAGGCGCCCGCCGCCAAGCCCGGCTAATTTCTTGTATTTTTAGTAGAGACGGGGTTTCACGGTGTTAGCCAGGATGGTCTCGAACTCCTGACCTCGTGATCCGCCCGCCTCGGCCTCCCTAAGTGCTGGGATTACAGACGTGAGCCACCGCGCCCGGCCTTTTTATCTTTTTATATATGCATTCGAAGAGGGATATCTCTGCTGTTAAACGTCTGCATAAACGGAAGCACTTCTTGAGAGCACCAATTTCTGGGAATTATTAATTTGAGAAAAAGAAATATCTCTCCCACAGGGATCTATGAAAGAATCCAGGACTTGTTCTATGCTGCTCTCTATTGAATTATATTGCTATTTTGTAAGAAGGAAAAGTAAGTGCTTGGGATAATCTAAAATTCATTAGATTAAACATGATTACAAATTAGCGACTTCAGTTTAAAAGGTAACATCAATGGTGATACACATTAAATGTGTTTGTAATTTTTAAAATCACTTGACAAGATACTTTAGATTTAGAGAATTTCTTGAAATAATTTAAAATAGTTAACAATGCTTGTTCATCAACAATGTAGGATAAATACTTGGCAAGACATGATAAAGTTTTATACAGGCTTTACTAATAACACACCGTATGTATACATGAATATATGCACACTGATTAGTTCAGAATAGAATATTAAGGCATATAAAAATAAATAAGGCACCGCAAAATAAATATCCCCAAATGGCTAAATAAAAAAAATAAAAACCACAATGAAAACTTCAAATGTATTAATATGATGGACATCTAAAATTCAAAAATTATATTGGGTTGTTTTTGACACTTTAAAAATAATATAAATGAAAATGTATTAAATATATAGAAATAAGTTATATTCATTGTACGCCAACTAAGATAATGCCTGGATGAAAAATATCCTTATATATCTACTTTCATTGTTTTCTGGATGTCACATTTGAAGTTCAGTTTCAGAACTACTAATAGAACAAAACAGCGTTGGTAAATGGTATCTGTAAATTTAGTTGTTTAATCCAAACTTCTTCTCTAGTGCCTAATTATTATTAGCATCAGCTGGCATTATTGATAATGCAGTTTTGGAGAATGTCTCCTCTGAGCTGTACTAATGTTAACTATGTACACTAACTGCTAGTAAATATAGTCAATGTGTAGTATAGTGTTTACCCATAGTTTCCACTGAATACATTTCCATGTGCTATCTTTAAAATAAATATATTATGTATTGCCACAAATGTCTTTTGAGAGCATGAACATGTTTTTATAATGGAAGAAATTATAATAAATATAATAAATACTAAGATATCATTGTCTTCTCTCTTTCTAGACCTAATTTATTGAATTTCTATTAAAAAATGTAAAATATCTATTCGATGCAACTAAACAAGCTAATATTAAGTCTCTTCTTACTTCTGGGAGATACCATGATGTAGTAGAAACAATGTTGTATTAGGGAAAAGGAAACAACCTCAAATTTTCCTGTGTACTTTCTAGCTTCGTGGCTCTGAAACAGTCACTTGTCTCCTGGCCTGAAAGCCAATTCCAAACTAAGATAATGTCCTAAAGGTCCTTCTAGTCTTAAATCTATAATTAGAGAGCAGTGTTTTAAAATTTCTATACACACACACACACACACACACACACACACACACACTATATATATATATATATATATATGTATGTTGATGTTTATTTTTTCCTAATACAGACCAAATTTTATTCAGTACCTATACCTCAAAAAATAGTTTGTAAAGAAGTCTATTTTCCCATATATAGACATAAATTTGAGTTGCATGCCAAATGTAGTACTAAACTGTAAGTCAGTGACTTTATAACATATGGCAATTCATTTAAAGTTGATTCATGTAGTATTACTAGGCAAAGCATAATATGAAAGAATCTTTAAAGTAATTGCAAAATAATTGCTTAAAACATTGCTCTTTGATTTTTTTAAACAGATGCCGTATGATTTGTTTGTGGATGGGAGGTTATGAGTAGAGTGTAGTGACGTTGATGTCTTCTGTGGAACTTGCTATTTGTTAGTTGTTGACTACATGTACTAGTTGTTAGTACATTAAATATGTACTAGCAATTAGCGTATATAATCAACAATATTTTCACAGATACTTTGTGCTTTCGCTAGCACCGTTTTTGAGGTTAGTTCACATTTAGTTTATTTTTGTATTGTCTTCACCTTTCTTAAAGTAGAAGCCTGTTGAAATCACATGGGCAGATCTTAATTTGCAGGTTTTTTTCACTTGTTACCAAAGAAACCTTCCTTATAATCGTACTTTTGTATTCATCCCCTTTTTCTTCTATGTCATTTTCTCTTCTGTATGTCTCGTATATGTATTTGTGTTGAGATCTCTGTGGTGCTAGAGGCTTTATGTTTCGTATCATGTAATCTGGTGGAAAGGGACTATCCTCCCATTGTAGCATGTGAGTGGTATAGATTATAAAACTTACTGAAATATGGTTACATGCGTGGGACTGTGAGGATGAATTCCCTGGGGCTTAGGGGTAAAGGTTAAGAATGAGTTTATTCATGGTTTAAAGTATCATTTTCGTATGCTTGAGAAATTAAAACTATTGTTAGTGCTTTAAGCATTCAAATAATAAAACATTTATTGCCTTCACATAGACATTTTTCTGAGTTTTTATTTCATTAGAAGAGATTCTTTGAAGGGAAATTACTAGGACAATGGATTTGAACAATTTAATCCTCTTGGTATATATCGCCCAAGTGCATCACTGAAAATTACCAGTCTTGTCATATTTTGACGTTTGAAAGCTCTCCTATTTATTATTTTAATTTGTTTCTGAAGTTGAGAAATTTTAAGAGTATTAAACATTTGTATTTTGTATTCTAAAGATTTACCATTTTTTCTGTAACTGAGAGCACTCAGAGATCAGCTGCCACTCTTACCCTTCCTTCACATCTTTTTCCTATAATGAGGCTCTTTCTTGTACCTTAGAATTTTATTTACTTTTTAAAAGCAGCATATTATGTAAAATGTTCTGTAAAAAAATCTGTGCTTTGTCCTCATTTTTCTGCTTTTTATGTCTCTTACATATCCTTTTAATGTCTCAATTCTCTAAGTTATCATTTTATACTCACCCCTCTGTAGTTTTTAAAAATTTTGCTGATAGTTATTCTCGAATTCAAAATCTTTCAGAATCTCCTTCCTGTGATTAGGTAGAAACTCCTCTGCTTTATAATAAAAGCCTTCAACAAAGAGTATTTGTCTTCCATTTTTCCAGTTTACTTCCATTCATTTAGGCTACATTCTAGCCAGCTTGAATTATCTGTATCCATCTTCCTCTGAATTTCTCAAACGTATTCTCACATTTGAATCTTTGTTAATTTTGGTTCCACTTTCTTGACAGCTTTGTCCTGTTATCTCTAACTGAAACTCTACAAGGCACATTTAGAATTTTACAACTCTTCATGAGAGCTAATTTAATCCTCAGTGACAGTTTATTGGAATCATCATTTATGGATTTACCATGCTATGTTGAATAGAAGTTGTCTTAAGTTACCCTATAGTAATGATGTCAGCACATCAAGGGTTGGTTCTGCCTGCTCTTTCTCATGGCACTGTGGGTCTTTATACATAATAAAGTATACATACACAGTTATTTAATTGAATTAAACCTAAGTGGTAGTTGGTTAAATCCAGATTTATTAAAAAGCTTAAATTAAGTCCTACAGGAAAGGTCTCAAAAGTTATCATGGATTTTCATATTTGATTTATACACTGAGCCAGAAGCTTTGGAATTATTACTACTCTGGCTTAGAGAACATATTTATAAATATTCTTTTGGGGAAATAACCTTTCCTGTCTTTAAAATAAGGTAGGCCCACTGCAAATAATTCCATAAGTAACCTTTCCTATGCCACCCATGGGCATTGGGCAGTAGAGCCTCAAAATCCAGTTAATATTTAAAGAGGACAGTCTGAATATAGGGAATCATGAAACTATCTCTCTATGCTTGGAGAGATTTTTAATTTGACAATGTAAATAGGAAGTAATATTTAGAGAGATACTTTAACAAAGAGATAACAGAAAATCTACAAGTTCCATCTTAATGAGAAATTGGTATTTCTAAAGACGTGAGAAGACATCTGCTTCTGATCAAGATGAACTAACAGGGGCTGCATTTACCGGGTCACCAAAAATAACAAACAAAATATAAAATGGGTGGGCACAGTGATTCACACCTGTAATCCCAGCACTCTGGAAGGCCGAGGTGGGATGATTGCCTGAGCCCAGGAGTTCCAGACCAGCCTGGGCAACATAGTGAGACCCTCGTTTCTATAAAAAAAAATTAGCTGGGTGTGGTGGCTTGTACCTGTAGTCCCAGCTACTAGGCAGGCTGAGGCAGGAGGATGGTCTGAGCCCAGGAGGTGGAGGCTTCAGTGAGCCGTCATTGTGCCACTGTACTATCATACACACACACAAGGACAGTGATCCTAGAGTAACAGCAGCAATCAAGATGAATCATAATTACCCAAGCTTATGGCCTGGAGGGAGTTTTCAAGCTGTAGTAAAGCAAGGGGCAACCCCGGCAAAGCCTGGCAGACACCAGTTGAGGAGATGGAGCAGACAGTGTGGGGAGGCCAAGGTGGATAAAGTTTGGAAGACAGAGTACCAGAGAGGGGAATACTGAGCAGATAATTCCAGAGCTGTTCTAGGCCCCACTCAAAACTGATACTTCTTTTTGTCATCTAACATATGGTCCCAAAACTATTCTTAGGTATGGAATGAATGTGTTCCCTCCAAAACCCAAAGAACCAGACACTATGAATCCTTCTTTGTACTAAAGTATGCAAAATGCACCAATCTGTCCCTTACTTTGGAGAACCAATGTCTCAGTGCCCATGACCACTGGACCCCTTTAAAGAAGAGGCAGTTCCCTGAATCTTCAAAACTTTCATTTTCCAGTCTCTGTAGCATGTGTGTTTCATCACATCTTCCAGGGTTCTAGCCAACAGTTGCTCACCATACCCAATCATTTTATGTTGAAATAATCAGTGTGATATTACATGGGATGTTCAGATGGCCCAGCTCTCTTGAGATTAGATTATGATGAAATGTAGGAGAGTTAGCCTAGTCCTGAACCAAAACAGTATGTGTGTATTGTTATCTGTTGCATGTGAATTTGGTTCCTGGTCCTCTTTTCTGACTGGATAGGAAAGAACAAAATTTGCAAAATCAATGCCTACATTTCAAATACCTGAATCAAAATTAATCCGTTCTAGTGGAACTTCACACCTGGCAAGACAGCTATGATAAGGATGCTATTTGAACTCGAGATAGCCTACAGACATTCTCGAGGATCCGTCTAGCTATTGTGGGGGCTGTATTGGTGAATTAAATGGTATATTGTATGAACCACCACTTATACATTTGATAAACTTTTAAAAGTGGCACTAGTCTCCATAATTCATCCCAGAATATAATACTGATTTTGATTTCTTATCTTTGCAGAGAGTTGGAGCCTTTATCATAGGCTTCCACTTGGCTGTCCCCACTATCTTTTTCCCCAATAACTGGTTATTCAGGTACATGAGACCCAATATGCAGAGGTGAAAGCTTTTAGCAGACCTATCAAGCTTCTCTATACATGGTCTCTTTTCTTAAATTTATTTTTTTAATTACCATATTGCAGTTGTACATACTTATGGGGAATAGTTTGATACATATATATATATATTCAAAAACATACACATAATGTCCCCACTGTAATTGCTCTTACTTCGTAGATCAAGTACCTAGTGCTGGGGTTTCTTTAATTGACAAGTATGTCAATCTCAACTATACATTTAGGGGCTAAGGGTATTGCCATTGGGTGAGTGTACAGACCTGGTTAATATAAGGTAAGCCAGACTTAGCTTAGGACTCCATTTGTTACCTTTTTCTCACATGCTCCCACTCTAATGTGGAGGTTACGATGACACTTCATGTCTTCAGGTATCAACATCATGAACCCTGCGTTTTCAAAACATCTGGGCAGTTCCAGGTGCACAGTTCCTTGGGTAAACAGCCACAGGTCTGTTTGAGGGAGATAGAGGATCATTACACTGTGTATTTGTCATCACGTGGCAGGATCTTCCTCTGGAGATGTGTTCATGTCTTTAGTGAATCTATTGACCTTTTAGTCAATAGGTTCTGGTCCTGAAACCTGACTCAGACAAAGAAACTGGCAAGTGATTATGACATTTTATTGAGGTGACCACTTTTAGCCTTTTGCTCATTCATTCTTGCTCACTTGTTTTTATGTTACTCATTGTAGCAAAATATAAATAACATAAAATTTACTATTTTAATCATTTTTAAGTGTACAATTCTCTGGCATTAAGTACATTCACACTGTTTTTGCAACCAACATCATATCCATCTCCAGAACTTTTTTGTCATCTCATACTGAAACTCTGTACCCATGAAACAATAACTCCTCATTCCCTTTCCTCCTTATAGCCACTGGTAATCACTATTCTACTTTCTGTCTTGCTCACTTTTGATATTATGTTAAGCAGCACCTTGATGACTGCCTGCCTATTTTGTCCTTGGAGGTGCCATATTCTATTTACCGTCTTCATAATGCTCTATGGCCCTCTGATTTTGTTGCTTGTTAAAATAATTATAAAACCCTGACTTCTGCTAGTTCAGCCACACCACCTTGCTTTTGTTGCTTCCTACCTTTGCTATCAGCAAGTGAGTTTCTGTGATAGCCTCTACCATCAGCCTTGGCCTATACAACAGAGCCATCCCTGACCATTTTAGTGATGCTAATGATGCTCAGGCCTGCACATTTGTTATAATCCTGGTAAACAGTATGTCTTCTAGGCCTTCTCAAGAAAGATTTTGTTTTTTGGAGAATCTTGTGGCCTCACATAACATTTTCATGCTGCTGATAAAGCCATACCCGAGACTGGGTTATTTACAAAAGAAAGATATTTTTGGACTTACAGTTCCACATGGCTGGGAAGGCCTCACAATCATGGCAGAAGGCAAGGAGGAGCAAGTCATGTCTTATGTGCGTGGGATGGCAGCAGGCAAAAAGAGAGCTTGTGCAGGGGAACTCCCATTTTTAAAACCATCAGATCTCGTGAGACCCATTCACTGTCACGAGAACAGCATGGGAAAGACCTGCTCCCATAATTCAATCATCTCCCACCGGGTCCTTTCCACAACACGTGGGAATTATGGGAGCTACAAGATGAGATTTGGGTGGGGACACAGAGCCAAACCATATCAATAACTACTCAAGGGGTCCTAAATCCCTGAGCTGTTTAATCCCTTCATTTAGCATCCACCACAGCAACTCAGGCACTTCAATCTCACTCACCCGGGGTCATGACTTTTTCCAGGCTTCTAATAGACATCCAAGCAACAAATTTGTATTAATATCATCTCCTTTTTTGTGTGAGGATGTTCAATCCTATATTTAGTGAGGGTGTCTCCAAGTCAATAAATTCCTCCTTATTCAGTTTACAGTCACACCTCTTTGAGTACATTCAGGATCCAGTTTCACAAGCACTTCCTGGGCTCCTCTGTATTTGTCTGCTGCATGCCTTATCTCCTTTGTGGGTATAGTTTATGTCCTCCTTCATTAGCCCCCCACACTTCTTAGATGCATTAACCTTGGCTATGGGTCTGATGGCCAGGTGAGGAGACTGGGGAAGCTCCTGAGAAAATATGTTGTTTTGTGTGGAAGGATGGGAGAAATTTCTGTATAGTCTTTACACATAGGATGAGTGCTAGTTCTTAGTGGAGAAGAGTGAGACCATTCTGTACGTTGAGAGGATTCAAAGGATGGTGGGGAGTCAGTATCAACTGGGTTCCCCTTGTCCCTCTACCACGCGACAGTATCCCAGTATTACTTGACTATGGACCTGACTTTGGCATGAGAGCCCTGCCTTGAACATTTAACTGCCTTTGAAGTTTAGCATCTCTGACTACTAAATACTGGTCTTGAGCTTCATTTTTTTCTGCTTGCCCATTTTATGAGAAGTGAGCTTCTTGTTAGCTATCAAACAAACTCTCTTGCTCTCACACTTAGCTTGTAATTATTTGTTAATTTCTCTCAGCCTTTTATATCCATCTTTAGGGAAGCAATGAACTTAGTAAAAATAATTTAATTCCATTATGGTTCTATTTACCAATTCCCCTTTACAGTTCAAATGCCTGAATCCTCACTGTATTCAGGGAACAGCCCTCCCCCACCATAGTCTCCCAGGTGGCCACTGGTGAACGTTTTAACAATTGGTTGTCCATGCTCCACTTGCCACTCAGGATGAAGTCTACATTGCTAGCTGAGGAGTGAGTAACAGTCCCATATCCCATCTTAATGCCTGTCTTCTCGGGCCATTCCTGGTAAAATTGTGCCCCCTAAGTTATCTGGAAATCAGATACTGCAACAAAGTTGGTAATGCAAAAAGTATCCCGGAGAGTAAACTCATGAAAGAAAAAGGAAGTAAGAAAGAGGCAAGCAAAGTAGTACCCAACACTAAGAATGTCTCTGCCAGCCTGGTAGGGATCTCTGGAGGAAAGATTTATGTTAGAGAAAAGCTGAGTTGGTTACAGTCCATTTTACTTAGCTTTAATCAGTCTTTGGCTGGGAGCCAATGTAAGTGATTAAACTTGGCTCAGGAGCTAAGTCAGACCTTGAAGGAACTAACAGCTGAGGTTATCAGCTAACCACACTCTCCACAGCTGAGCAGTGAGTCTCTTCTAAAAAGAGGATCTGTAGGCAACATCATCATTTCTGCCAAAGCTCTTATAAAGTATTACTCTTTATGTTGATTTTTGAATCTGTTTCTGCTTGTGACAGTAAATCTAGAACTGGAAGCTTCAAATGTTGCCCTTGCTGAAAGTGCTCTTCACCTCTTCTAGGTAAAAATAGACACATATGGCAGTTACCTGGCAATGCTACACTGCAAGAGAAAGGGCCTTAAAAGAAAATACATTCCCATTTGTACTGATTAAGTCATTATCTTACTGATTTTAGTTCTATGTGTTCTCCTCTAGCCTCTTATTTGCCTTTCCATGCATTTAATCCTTGATTTCAGGGAGAACGCAGAGTTTCAAATAAAAGGATTGAATGATGTTAACACATCTTACATAGGAGATATTAATTAAGCATTTTAAGTATTTTTAAATAAAAACACAATAGACATTTCAAATGAGAAATACATTACTTATTTGAGGAAGTCTCCATGGAGAAATCCTCATAATTAGACACCTAGAATATGTTTTTCTGTCCAGATCACTGTAGTTCAGGCAAGGTGGTAATTTAGGACTGGACTGTTAAATTTCACTTTTTAATTTACCCTTTATGAAAAAATAGATTTACCCCCTTTGGCTCAGTGTACTTATTCAAATCTCATCTCAAATTGTAATCCTCACGTGTCAGGAGAGGGGCTTGGTGGGAGGCAATTGAATTATGGGGTGGACTTTTCCTTTGCTGTTCTCATGATAGTGAGTGAGTTCTCACAAGATCTGGTTGTTTGAAAGTGTGTATACTTCCTCCTATGCTCTCTCTCTCTCTCCTGCAATGCCATGGTAAGATATGCTTGCTTCCTCTGTGCCTTCCTCCATGACCGTAAGTTTCCTGAGGCCTTCCAGCCATGCTTACTGTACAGCATGCTTACTGTACAGAAGTGTGAGTCAATTAAGCCGTTTTTCTTCATAAATTACCCAGTCTTAGATAGTTCGTTATAGCAGTATGCGAACAGACTAATACAAATATTGCAGAAAATCTAACTCTTAAAGGCTTCTAGAAGCACAGCATTTAATTATATCACTTCCATTTACTTCAACATTTATTATCCTTGTTAATTAAAGCATTTTCCCTAAGACTTCTGTTTGCCAACCATGTGTTCCTCTGGCTGAAAGTGCCCTATATTCTTGAAGATAAAAATATTTAATAAAAATATTGTATAGAACAGTCATGTTACTACCAATTTGCTCCCCCCACCAGGTGTGCAACATATACTTGAAAATATTTTCACTTAAAAGTTATGTAAATAATATATTTTACCAATCCACATTGGTCTTTTTCAATGCACTATGACTTTATTTGTGTGTTTGAAACTCTCAAGGTTGACCTAGCATAAACAAAAAGACAACTTTATTATGGAAGTGATGGTGGAAAAAATTGCTATTTAAAATAACCATTGTCTAAAAGATGAGCACTGTTAAATTAATTTCTTTTCTACAGAGTTCTTTGATGGATTTGAAAATGCAAATCTGGGCTTCGAGCTGAATTTCAAAGCACTGTTCTGAGGATAATTTATAGTTCTTTTGGAAAGAAGATGAAAGAGGGAGATGGGATAGAGGAAGATAAGGAGTCAGCAGTATGGGGGAAGGTGCAATTCTAAGTGGGGGCCACAGGGTCAGTGAAAAAATCCTGGAATGGGGTTACCAGAAGTTTAATGATAAAAATTATGTAGTTTCTATTTCTTTATTGTAAATCCTATTGTGACTCCTTTAAATCTTCAGTAGAATCTATTATACACACAAATAACTAGTTTTGGAGTCAGAGTATTTTCTTATAGTTGTGAAGTTTACTTAATTGTTTGAAATAATTATGGAAAGAGATTGAAGCTGAATTCCATGATTGGACTGATACAAATCAGAGAAGGACATCATTAGTTAGAAATATTGGCCGGGTGCGGTGGCTTACGCCTGTAATCCCAGCAATTTGGGAGGCCAAGGCGGGCAGATCACGAGGTCAGGAGATCAAGACCAACCTGGCCAACATGGTGAAACCCCATCTCTACTAAAATACAAGAAAATAGCCTGGTGTGGTGACGCATGCCTGTAGTCCCAGCTACCCAGAGGCTGAGGCAGGGGAATTGCTTGAACCTGGGAGGAGGAGGTTGCAGTGAGCCAAGATTGCGCCACTGCACTCCAGCCTGGTGACAGAATGAGACTTCATCTCAAAAAAAAAAAAAAAAAAAAAAAAAAAAAAAAAAAATATATATATATATATATATATATATAAAAAATAAAAATAAAATAGAATTATCAACAGAATTAAGGCACCAGAGATGAATGTGAAAATAAGTTGAAGCCACTCTGATGGCCTGCCCTCCATGTGTTGAACCTTGAGTGATTAACGGAAATCTTGGGAGGTTTTTTGAATTGTTCACAAATAGTGGAATTAGGGTTTAAGTCCATTAGCTAGATATCTTTAAAAATTTCTAGCCATTAGGTCTTAAGTGGTGGATGATCCCGTTAAAATGTCAGTTGCACAATACTGAAATCCAAGGCCTCAGTAATAGTGGAACGAGAAACTCCAAATTCTAGAAGAGTTTCCTCAATGGCTCACTCCTCTCAGTTTCTGTGGGTACATTAGTTTTTACTCATCTTATTGAAGACGTGCTTTCTTCACAATTTAGAAAACGCAGCTTCTAACAGCTACCTGAAAGTAATGATTAAACTTGCTGAATTCCTAATCACAAAATACTAGGTAAAGGCAGGCTTATGCTTGACCCAGATCACTTCAAATGACCTCCTCTCCACCAGCCAACTGTGCCATTGTATGCTTTGCATTATAGATTAGTGTAAGGATTTTTATTTTAATTAATTAATTAATTTTTGAGAAGGTCTTACTCTATCATCAAGGCTAGAGTGCAGTGGTGTGATCATGGCTCATTGCAGCCTTGACCCCCTGGGCCCAAGTGATCCTCCCACCTCAGCATTTGTGAGTAGCTGGGATTATAGGTGTGTGCCACCACACCCAGCTAATTTTATTATTATTTTTTAGAGATGAGGTCCCACTATGTTGTCCAGGCTGATCCTGAACTCCTGGGCTCAAGCAGTTTTCCTGCTTCAGTATCCCAAAGTGCTGGGATTTGCAGCTGTGAGCCACCATGCCTGATGAAGGATTTTATTTTTAAAGCATCAGCATTTTTAGATATATTATTTCTCCTTTCTTACGGTCATTCATTTATTCTTTTGATATATGGAGTTGGGGACACTGCATGCCCCCAAAGGCAATAGGTGTTTTAATCTACTGGCTATAGAATATTATAAACTGCCTTTTTCAATCACAAATCATGTCAACTTTGAAAAATAACACCTACTAAAATAATTTGGGGACATGGCAGCAAATAATTAATAAAACAATTGAGACGGGAAGAATGCACTTATTGTAGTCAGGATTAGTTGATTGATGACAGAGCAAATTTTTTTTTCATGAAAAATTAATGTAGACTCCCAAAAGACCATCTGGAAAGTGTTCTCTGGATGTTTACCTGTGTATTTTGAGTTTAATAACAATTCTCAATATCTTTTAATTAATCCCATCTGTCAAATGATGTTGAAGATAGGCAAATAAATGGAATCTCTTCAAGGACAGTTTGGCTTTAGTGACTAACTAAGGATTTCATTTACTTAGAAAAAGAGGCTTGCAAATGTGGTATATAATAATTTTCAATAGTTCTTTCTTAAATCCAACAGAATATAGACTACTTAGGATATGTTTGAATATATGTATAATTGTGAGAATGCGTATGTATGTAAATATCCTTTATAGGTGTTATTTCCGACCTTCATCACCAATGTTGTGTTCATAGGCCATGTAAACAAAACAGTATCTGCTTGTTCTTCTTTCTTAGCTATGTTTCTATTGGAGAGGGATGAATAAGGACAATAACTCTTTTTTCTTTGCATTATTCTTATAATTATTTCATTATTTTTGCAGTGTTGTTACCATATGTTGAAGTAAGTAATTAATTCTAAAATCTTAGTGGCTTAACTTAACAAGTTCTTTTTTTTGGCCCATGAAACATATACAGTGCAAATTAGTAGCTGGAATTTTGTGGGGATTTGGATCCTCAGTCAGGGACCCTCGCTGACAGAGGCTCCATCACCTTCTATGTGAACTGTCTGGAAGATGTGGCCTTTCCCATTCATGCAATAGGTGAAGAGACACAAGACAGTCTTGCACTGGTAATTAAGTACTTTGCTCTGGAAGTATTTAATAACCAGTCTTCTGGAGAAGACATGTGTGATTTCATTGGCCAGAACTAGTCACATGACCTCACCTAAATGCAAAAAGATTTGGAAGTATAAGAGAGCAAATGAAATAATCAGTGGGCTGACTCATTGCCATACTATATTCCAGAATTATATATTTGTTGAGCAAGAGAAAATTTTAAACAATTTATTATTACACTTTAAGTTCTGGGGTGCATGTGCACAACGTGCAAGTTTGTTACATAGGTATACATGTGCCGTGTTGGTTTGCTGCACTCATCAACTCCTATTTTTCCTAATGCTATCCCTACCCCAGCCCCCCACCCCCTGACAGGCCCCAGCGTGTGATGTTCCCCTCCCTGTGTCCATGTGTTCTCGTTGTTCAACTCCCACTTATGAATGAGAACATGTGGTGTTTGGCTTTTTTCTTCTTGTGTTACTTGAGCAAGAGAAATTTTAATGAAACCAAGTGAAACATTAAATAAACTCTGCCCTTTTCTTTTTACTCCAAGGACACAGCACGTGTAATATGTAAGATGATATCATATTTAGACTCTTAATTCAATGTCTGCCTGATTTTTATTCTGCACATACTGCTCTTCTTCCCTTTAACAGTCTTCAGCTTGTAAGTTATATGTGGATTACTCAATGTGCCAAAGACAATTGATTCAATGTGCTGAGAGCTCTAAGGTAACTCTTCCTAGAGAAAAATAAATATATTAAAACCCACATGAAACAAAACACAAGTCATTGTTTTTGTAATGTAAAGTTAACTTCTGATTGAGAACTTATTGTGTAGGGTAAAAAACAAACCACAGTTTCTGTACCTTTTTGACTCCTCCAGCACTTTACTGTAAACTACCTCTCTTTAGTCAACTTTGCCCCAAGTGACCCATATTAGAGCTGAGACGGATTAAAAACCAAATGAGATGTTGGTGAACTACAACAGTAATCAGAGATAACAAGTAGCATTAACATTGTGGAAAACATCCAGTATTCTTTTGAAAATTGATTAATTAACATAATACCTAAGTTTATTCTTTTCATTTAGTAACAATTTAAGGAGTGCTCTGAAAAGGATATGCCAATTTTAGCAGGTACAAAATGTCTAGCTATGTAATAAAATATCACAAACGGGTCCTGAATTAGATTCAGTAGCAATTGAGATTGCATGCAGGGACAGACATATTCTTTGGTGGGGACTCCTGCAGAGAGTCTCATTTATGATAGATCAGAATTATTTTTGCTTCATTCACATACAAATGCATACTTATATGACAGTCTAGGAAAGGACTTTGTGGAACAAGGTCTGGATGCATTTCTCCTGGTGCCTGTTTTTTACAAGTTTATTTTAAACATCTAACTCACTGTTGTGGGCTCTTAGAGATGAACCATCTGTCACAAACCAGAATCAACATTTATTGTAACTTATTAAGAAAGGAAAAGTTGCTGGCAAAAAACCATTTAAAGTGTAAAGTTGGATATTGAAGACTTTATTTCCCACAGAGCCTTTTAAAAATCAGATTAGATGTTCATCTGAGAAAATGGTTCTGACTTTTGCGAATAGGTAATGATCTCATATGGCAGAATCACTGACAAGGTGAGGAATGCATGGGGAAGGAAGGAAGACAGAGGAGCACAGCACATTCTCTCTCTCTCTCTGTGTGTGTGTGTGTGAGAGAGAGAGAGAGAGAGAGACAGAGAGAGAGAGACAAAGAGAGAGAAAGATACAGAAAGGAAGGAAGGAAGGAAGGAAGGAAGGAAGGAAGGAAGGAAGGAAGGAAGGAAGGGGGCTGCATCTCCTGGGGGTTGTGCCAGTACAGGGAGGATGCAGTTTCTTCAGATGGCAGCAGAGTGTGGTATTGAAACCAATGAGATGGCAGAGGGCTCTATAGTCTGGAACCTAATTTCCCTGTGAAACATTCATACTTCAGTGAAATTACCAAATTAACTGATTCTTTTTTTTTTCTTTCTGAGACAGGGTTTTGCTCTGTCACTCAGGCTAGAGTGCTGTGGTACAAACATGTCTCATTGCAGCCTCGACCTCCTGGGCTCAAGCAATTCTTCAGCCTCAGCCCCCTGAGTAGATGGAACCACAGGTGCACCATCATGCCTGGCTATTTTTAAAATTTTTTGTAGAGATGGGGGGTCTCACCATGTTGCCCAGGCTTGTATTGAATTCCTGGGCTCAAGCAATCCTCCTTCCTCAGCCTCCCTAACTGTTGAGATTACAGGTGTGAGCCTGGGCCCAGGTGGATTCATATGACCAACTCTTTTAATGAAATCAGCAAAAGGGTTAACATGGTGCCTTTCAAGGAGATGAATCAAGATCTTAATTTAAACACAAGAGCAGAGACAAGGCAGATAGACAATCTTAAAACTTGCTAGAAGTTAGTATGGAGATTGGTAGAACTTGTTCAGAGAGTGCCAGATTTGCTCACGGTAATATATCTGTAGTCTTAAATTACATTTTCTTAAGTTTCCATATGGAAGGTAAGTCTCAAACTGATCTGGGTTACACAGACATTAAATATTGCATCACGCTTTATTGCTTAAGGTAAGCACCAGGTAAAGTGACTAATCATATAACATATTCTTAGGAATTAGGGGATTCCTACAGTTTTTGAGAATAGATGAGGGCCTTTAAATGGTGGCAGGAAAAAAACCAGGATTTTGGACCAGTCACTAAGATGCTAAAAAACACAATTTAATAAGGTGTCTTACATTTATTTTCAAATCCCCACATTTCCAAAATTCTCAAGTTATAGGTTTTTACTTTTAAATACATCCTCTTCTTTTAAATATTTTTCTTTCGATTCACTTTAATCATGAGTTAACTATACTCAACTGTCATCCTCAAATCCCACATCTACAAGGCATGTATTACCAATTACTCTATTGTTGTAGATGAATACATGTGACTAAAGTATTCTGAAATTTATATGCACCCACAATATATCACTTAAAAATTAATGCCAATTCACATAAAATCCAATCTCATTTTAGTTGTTAAGAAAATCTTGAAAACTTGGTACATTTAAAGAAAAACTTGAGGAAATTTAACGTCTGAGAGACTGTGTAGTCTTTTCTAATGTGTTATTTTAAATATTATCTTGACCTTTTAATTATTCTCTAGTATATCAGGCCTACTTAGAGCATCATAAGATTTACTTGTTGATTTTAGTCAGTGTTGATCAG
Organism: Homo sapiens; assembly: GCF_000001405.40. NCBI lineage: Eukaryota > Metazoa > Chordata > Mammalia > Primates > Hominidae > Homo > Homo sapiens. The sequence continues at coordinate 118,380,296 of NC_000007.14, forward strand.
ATCAGTCGTTTACATTTAAGCCATGTCTGCTTTTGATAAACATGAAAACCTAATTTCTTTCATAATTTAGTTTTGAATACATTCTTCTCAGTGACATCTCTGATATTTTCCCACCCCAAGAATCTCTAAAAGGTAGAAACTAGTCTACCTTTGGTCTCTACTACCATAAAATAAAATGTCTTTGAGCTTTACTTCCTGTAGTTTACATTATATATTTTTAAAAGTTTCATTTTCCAAATACATAAACAGGTGGTTGGTGAGGAAGAATCTGAGAAGGATGAGCTATTGTGTCCCTGATCTCTTTTATGAAGCTCCAGTGTCAGTTATCATCCATTGCTTCTGGGGAAAAACAATGCATGTATGAGTTTTTTGTTCGTATGTTTTCTTCGAAATGATACAGCTTTACTGTGGGGAGACCAGAGGATATAATGACATATTCCCTCCCTTAATTAGATTACACTATGTGGCCAGAGTAATGGGATAGTAATTTCCCTGACTACATTGTATTATATAAGACTTGTTCTAAAGTTAGAAATTCCACATGAGAGAAACATTCTCTTGCTGCTGCAAAGAAGCAAACAGCTGTATCCTGAAAGGGGTCATGTGGCAAGAAGATGTGAGTGACCTCTAGGAGTGGACAGGAGCCCCTGGTGACATCCAGCAGGTGAAGTCTTCAATCCTACAATTCAAGGAACTAAATTCTGCCAACAACCAATGAGATAGGAAGAGGACCCCAAATCTCAGATGATGTTACAGCCCTGACCTGCCTGCATCTTGATTGTAGCTTAGTGGGATGCTGAGCAGAAGATTTTATTAAAATATACCAGACTCTTGACCCACAGAATCATGGCATTAATTTGAAATAATAAATGTGTGTTGCGAGTACTAATTTGTTATGCAGAAACAGAAAACTAAGATCAGTGAAAACATTTGTCCACACAAAACCTATATGTGAATGTTAATATTGCTTTGAATCAAAATAGCCAGAACTTAGAAGTAACCCAAATATCTATTGGCTGGTGAATAGACAAACAATATATGGTGCATCTTGATAGTGGAACGCTAGTAAGTAATATAAAGGAACACCCTTCCCACATATTCAAAAACATAAGTAAATCTCAAAGCCTAAATAAAGAAAAAGTAAAGTAGCTAAGTAAAAAAGGACAGCCATAAATGGCTTCATACTGTGTAAATGCACTTATATAACATTCTTATAAAAGTAATTCCATCGGGACAGAAAAAACATCAATACTTGAAAGAAGCTAAAGGTATGGTTGAGTTGATTGCCTACAAAATGGAAAGAGGAAACTTTTTAGGATGATGAAAACATACTTTATCTTGTTTGTGATGAGTTAGATGTCTATCTGTCATCCATCTATCTATTTTTAAACTCACTATATATATATATTTATACATATATAATAGTATGCACAGCAGAAAGAACAGTTAGCCAATCATAAATTTTGTTTTCTTCATTTCCATTGCTAATATTTATGTTGCAGAAAGAGATTCTGCCTTGATTGGCCGAAAGTCAATGGACTTTATTTGCAATTTCTACGTATATTTAATTCATCAAATATTGTGTTTCATGCTTAAATGTTTGGTTAATCACATGTATTCATTTAACAAACTTTGTAGATGTCAAGAACATTTTGATTATGAAATGTACACAAAAATAATTTTAATAAGCTTAAAAATTCCAGCTACACATTAACCAAAATTTTCCAATAATCCTATGGATATTTAACACATAGATTTTTAAAAATCCTCATATTAAGGATTTCTGGCATATCAATAAACACTTTAGAGTGAGTAGACAATTTATAATACTTTGTTGTAAATAACATAAAATGTGGTTACTAGAAGTCTCAATAGCTCCAGTAGTAAATAACAATCTCTTCTTTCAGATTTATAATATATTTAAAAGTTAATATTCTACAAGACTGAAATTCATTTATATTTTTTTAAAACAAAGACCCCTTAAAGAGATTTTAAGATATTTTACAGTTCTCAATCAGGATTTGTTTTCACTTGAATGAAATATTTGTGTGTTGTATACAGAGCTAAAATATATGCAGTTCTTTATCTTTTAAAATTGTCTTAATATGGATGACAAGTGTTAATGAAACTTTGGTGTCTTTGAGATTAGGTTTTAATAATATGGATTCAATTTATTTGCTTTCCAAATAAATTTTCTAGTTGTGGTATTTTCTCCTTAGCATGTAGTCTTTATATTAAATTTATTTCTAGATGACTAAATCTCATAGTGAACTGTATTTAATAACCAGTTCAGACAGAATCTATTAAAATGCAATATATATTTAAATATTTAGGTACTGAAGATAAAAATATGCACATTTTAGAGGTGGACACTAATACAAATTTGTATTTTTAATTGCAAAACAAACAGATTTTCATTTTTTTGGTTTCAGGAATGTAAAAGGAAAGTTCATCTTTTCACCTGTAAGACTTCTATGGGCTTGCCTGTAAATATACACCACTTGTCATTTGAATTGCTGAGAAAAGAAATTCATTCTACAAGCTTCAACAATGGGAGCTTTTCCCCTAATTAGTAGAATGATGTATCATGATCATTTCAGGTGTTGTATTTGTTAGGCTTTTAAATTTGTCAGCTAAATATTCTCTGTATCTAGTTTACACAGCTGAATTTTATAAATTATTTGTGCAAATGTTTAGGTTTTTAACAGAAAATTAAAAGGCATTTGGATGTATTTAATTCACTTTCCCAGAAAATATAACATTTTATTTACATCATACAGAGTAACAATAAATATCACTTATGTATATGTATATATGCATGCTCATTTATCCATTGATTGATCTGTCAAGCTATTGATCCATGAATCCATCCCTTTTGTCTTTTGTATGAAGTGTAAGAGAGGAAGTCTTCCAGGGTGATGTATAGAAAAGCATAATGAGAATCAGGGAATACAAGAGTATAGATAAACAACAAGATAATTTCCTTGCAGACTATATGATATGGTTTGGTTCTGTGTCCCCACCCAAATCTCATTTCAAATTGTAATCCCCACGTGTCGAGGGAGGGACCTGGTGGGAGGCAACTGGATCATGAGAGTGGTTCCCCCATGCTGTTCTTGTGCTAGTGAGGGAATTCTCACGAGATCTGATGGTTTTTAAAGTGGCTGTTTCCCCTGTGCTCTCTCTCTCTCCTGCTGCCTTGTGAAGAAGGTACCTGCTTACCCTTCACCTTCTGCTATGATTGTAAGTTTCCTGAGGACTTCCCAGCCATGTGGAACTGTGAGTCAGTTAAACCTCTTTTTTTAAATGAATTACCCAGTCTCAGGTAGTATCTTTATAGGAGTGTGAAAATGGACTAATACACTATATATTATCCTAAATAATCTCTGGATAATACTGTGGAATATTTTATTTTAACACCGTCTTTATCCACATTTATTTTCCCTTTGCCCTCTTACTAAAGCTAGTGGGCATATTATGCAAGGATTTAGCTATGGTCGTGTAAAGAGCTGAAACACAATATTTACTCCAGATGATGGAAGGTCTTGGAAAACTTTTGTGGTTAAGAATTGTCAAAGAGTTTCTGAGATCTTCTGAAAAGTTATATTTTAAAATAGAGTGCAAATGTTGAAAAATATAAACCCATCATCAGATATGTTTTTTTCTTAGGCTCCAATAATTGACTCTTTTGGTTTACCAGTTGGGAATGGGTACCTGCATTAAAAACATGAAATTTCCTTTAAAGACAGCTTACAAATAAGAATGTACATTACAAACTGGTGTGCTTTTAAACAAAGTTGTCATAACTTAGTTAATGTGAGTATTATGACATAATTTTTCACAGTTAAAAATGTCCACCTTGTGAACAAAACAGTCATCATAGTTAATCTTCAGCCCTCCTCATGAGAAAATACTGATTTACAACATGACAGTCATCTAATAAGCATCAACTAAAAACTCTGGTCACTGGAATAACTGAGTTGATGAATATATATATATATATATATATATATATATATATATGTATTTCATCTACCTCAACTCTCTAGGTTTTATTCAAAGGCTTATCAACTTTTCTAATTAAAACATGCAAATAAATAATGTGTAGTGATTATGTCAACCTGTATAAAACTCTTTGCTGCCTTGATTGTTCTACTTATTTGTCCTGTAAAATATATGATAAAGTGATATTCTCATACAATACATAGATATTAAGGTCTCTAATTAAAGAACAAATCAGTGCTTAATTAAATTCACCTGAAACTTCAATGATTGTTAAATTCCGATGGCATATATAATAGTGGCATATATAATAATGTCATAGGTGCCTCAGAATGCTAAGTCACATGGTAGTGGCTACCTGTGAGGCCTATTTTTAGTAAGTGTGCATTCTTTAAATATTAAAAAGAAGAAGTGCTTCTGATAAATGATATTAGGGAAAAAAATTGAGATCATTGTAGATACTTGGCATGCCCCCAAAACTTCTGAACATGATTGCTATTTCCATTTTATCTTGAGTATGTTTAATCCATAATAAATTTCAGAGGGTGTTATGCAAAGAATCTTGATTGCTGAATACTCTGAGCCAAAGGGATTTATTTAAAGTGAGGGCACACATGAGTTGGTCTTTTAGTAAAATCATTCAGCATATAGTGTCAAGTTAAGACAAGATATCAATAGCATATAAGCCACTTTTGTGGTGGAGGGCAGGATTACCATTTGCAGGTTGTCTTTCTAATTATTCTGTTCTTTAATAAACAAAATGCTTTACAAATAAACTATTTCATTTTGATTTCTATTCATGCTAACAGATAATAATTTTTTTGAAAGAGACATTTATTATGAAAACAAATAGGAGAAAAAAAAGATACCTAAAAGACAGAGGGTACAAACAAATATAATGACCACTTTATTAGTTGAATTATACTAAAGTAAGTTTTCTTAAAAATATATGACATTGTAGGCCTAGGAAACTCATCTTATGCTAATATTATGTTGACTGTTGAGTTTTATGGAGGCAGCCAGTAACTTTTGTAGTTTATCTAATGGGTATATTTAATTATAGATTCATAACATACCTATGTGTGAATGCAGAGAAAATCTGACAGGATAGTAATTTTTAGTTCAAAGGATCTTTATAGTTAAACATGATACATTTCTAAAGATCTGAATTGTAAAGCATACATGATAGCTTGCTAAAATACAAATACCCAGGCTTAGGAAATGAAGATATAATTTTACAGAATTTATGTTTCTGAAATTGTTATAACATTAGATGGTACACTAAAATAAATTTTCCACATGACTGTAATTTTCCTTTGTATTTCAAACACTTTTAGTGCGTTTTTCTATTACAATAAAAATATGTCTGAAGTAGACAGATACTCCCTTGTTCCCTTAAATAAAGTAGATGATGTATTTTTGTGCATTAGTACTTCCATTGTGAGTGTCATTTATTGACTGGGGCTGTGAAACAAGAATGCCCCTGGTGACCCCTAGGGCCTTATAGCCATGATAATGGGCCCCACTTTTATGGTTCTTTTGGAATGCAGTCATTATTTTTTCAACTTCTCTCCATCTCATACCTTTGCTACATTTAGTGCATTTGTGGCTTTTAATCTGCTGCATCATTTTACATGTGCTTGTCAAGTATATAGTTTAAGCTTTCCCTGCTTTACCTCAGAGGCTGTGTTCCAAGCAGTCAAACTGAAAAGAAAAAAAAAAAACAAACCCTGAACAGTAGAGTAAGGAAGAAATTGCAGGCACTCACTGAGAGGATCATAAATGACATCCTACAAATCAGTTTTTACTCTTTTAATGATACAGATGTAAGATGTGCTTCTCCAGCATTTTAATTTTTGATAAACTAGAGTTTAATGTCTTATATTATTTGCAAAAAATTCTTATTCAAAAGTTTTGTAATTAAAATATTTCCACAAGAAAGTTTGCAATATATGCGGTTTCTCTGTCTCCTGAATTGAAACACTTATAGAGAAATTTTTATGTGGTATATTTTCCCTCTGATTAGTGTTCTGCTAGTATTTAATACTGACCGATCCTTGAACTCTGGGTGGCTATGGCCAGTGCAACTAGTTCATGTATTACGATTTTTAAAAATGACATTTATATTCTCTAAATGGTGCTATTGATTAAAACTGATCATTTATCAGGATGTATATTAGGTCTCAGACTTGGGGTGAACCTGCAGGGCTTCTTTGCTGAATTTAGACTGTCACTGACAGCTTTTTCTTCTTTAAACATAGCTGATGTTTGCAGCAGAATGTTGTGCTTCCAAATATATACAATAAAAATAATTAATAAATCAAAATCTAAAAGATTAAAAATTGTTAATTATAATTTTATTATGCAAATGCGGCCCCTACCAAGATTCAGTCTCTTGTTATTGTCTATTTTCTTGTTTGTCTTCTCCTCAATACGTTTTAATATCTTTGTGGGTAGAGTTTTAATCATCATCATATTCTCAGTGACTGGCCTAGAGCTCAGTTCATAAAAGCCCTCAGTATTTAAAAATAACATCTGGTGTAAACTCCAGATGATCAGATATTGTTTATAGTTTTGGCAAGACATAATCCTGTCTCTGAATAAGCTCACATTTAGGAAGGAATGAAAAATACTCCAATGAGTGGGTATAGTAAAGATAGACTATATGCAGTAGTTACAGATTTTTGAGATAGCAAATAATTAATGTTTAAAGTGTCTAGGGACCTGTTGAGGAAAGGATATTCCTTTCTACTCTTTCTCTATGTCCTGTCAAAAACAAATCTAAGTGCATATGAGATAGAACAAAATCCAGAGCTCAAGTGTGCACATATTAAAAATAATCTAAGCGGTTGCTTTGCTTAATGCTGGAAAATGCCATTTTTATAAAATTGATCCTATATGGGCAAAATGACTATGAAGCCAATGTTATTTTATTATTATACAAGCTATGTAATGAAAGTAAAATTTATGTTTAGAGGAATTAACACAAAATAGAACTCAGTTCTATTGTCTCTATTCAAACATTTTTATTGCATTTTACTGTTACAACAGAAATATATCTGAAGTAGACTGACACTCCCTTGTTCCCTTAAACAAGGTAGATGATGCATTTTTATGCATTAGTACTTCCATTATAAGTGTCATTTATTGACTGGGGCTGTGAAACAAAAATGCCCTTGGTGACCCCTAGGGCCTTATAGCCATGATAATGGGCTCCACTTTAAGGGGAAGCATCAGAGCTCTAATCCTATTTTGTTTTTATTATCAAATAAAAACAAGTCCTTGACATTCCATTCATCAGACTGAAAATTGTTTGGTAAAATGTGGTGGAAGTTTTAGATGAGTTAGCAGAGAAGACTCTCTATATAAGAAGCATTTTTATACTGCTTTAAAAATGTCTAAGATTGAATTTAATGAAATAACTGAAAGTTATAAGAGATTATTATTTTGGCAACAGCTGGTAGATTTATCTAGCTATCAAGAAATTTGGTTAGGAATATTCAGGGAAAAAATTTGGTTATGGCAAAAGCAATAGAAGGCTTTGAAATTTGCAGAAGGGATATTGTGCATGTCACAGTACACAAATAAATCTGCCCAGGAAGACTTTTTTGTCATAAAATTACTGACATTAATAAAAAACAAAATGAAAAATAAATTCACACATAATTAAACTGCTACCCCAAAATGAATTGCTTTCTTTTCATATAATCCTTATCAATATGTATATACAATTTGTGGTTACAAACCCTGTACTTTTGTACAGTTTGCTTTTCTTTTAGGATTATATCCAATATTCTATCCTACTATTCAGTCTTAATTATTATCACTTAAATTTTAATTACCACTTTTATCTGTTAGGTATTTCCTTAAGTGAACATTTTCACAATTTCCTCAGCTATTTTCCTATTAGTAGATAGTCTCTAATATGCTTCTAAATTTATACTATAATAAAAATACCCTAATGATAATTTTATGCTTATAAATATTTTAGATTTATGCAGTTATTTGTTTCCTTGGAAGAAAATCCCAGAAATGATACTACAAGTCAATTTTTTTCCCGTATTTACTTTTTAAAGGAGTTTCATCAGCTTAAAGTGCCATCAGGAATGTTTGAATATACCATTTTCACCATAAGCTTTTTAGAATTTCACAGTATAATTATATAATTTTGCTTGTTTGGTAGGTAGATAATATTATCTTCCTGTTTCAGTTTTTATTTCTGGTGCAGGAAAAACATTTTTCATGTTTGTTTGTTCATTGTCTTTCCTTTTACGTACATTATCTTTTCATGTCACTGGCTTATTTACCTATTGAAGTCAATGTATTTTTTAACCTGCTTAAATAATATAGGTTGTAATCACTTTGCTACAAATACTCATTCCTATTTTTTGATTCTTTGAGTTTTTATTATCAGTAATTTCATTAATAGTTTTCCATTATATTTTGTGGAATTTTAGGACCATTTGATAGTAATTTTCTATATTTCCTATTATAAAATCACTTGCACTTAGGTGGTGTTGGTTTAAATAATTGTTTTTCACTATTTTTTGTTTCTAATTAGAACAAAAAAGAGACATTTCTTAATACAAGTATATGCTAAGACCGACTTTAAATATCTAAAGATATTATGTTAATAAGAATATTAGTCATCTTTTTGAGTATCTACCGGGTCTACGATGACTATTTTCCTCTAAAATCTGAACCACCTCCCTAATGCTCTACTGTCAGCTACCTATAAACCATACAATCTACCTGCTGCCAGTGATTGGACTCAGCTGTGTTCTAGAACCTAAATGATGCCAGTGAAGCTGAAAAGTGGCCATCTTCTGCTAAGAGCATGTAGAAGTAAAACAAATGAAGCAGTTATGCAGAGAGAAGCATGGAGGGACAGAGGAAGCTCTCAACCTCTTTAGGACTTTCCAGTTTCTGGATCCTGTCTGTCCTGAGAACTTGTCACATTTCTTGGGCACAGGTCCTGTGAATAATCTTTTACCCCTACATCAAATTCCACCACTTAAAAAAGTTTATTCGTGTGTAATTCTACTATTTTTTTGCATAAAGAGATTTTGACAAAAGTGTTAAGAAATATGCCTGTATGGTGGCTCATGCCTGTATTCCCAGCTACTTGGGAGGCTGAGGCAGGAGGATCATTTGAGCCTGGGATGCAGAGGTTGCAGTGAGCAAAAATTTTACCATTGAACTCCAGCCTTGGTGACAGAGCAAGACTCGGTCTCAAAAAAGAAAAAAAATATGCCTGTATTCCCAGCTACTTGGGAGGGTGAGGCAGGAGGATCACTAGGGCCCAGGAGTTCGAGTCCAGCCTGGGCAACATATGAGATGGTACCACTTAAGAAAAAAAAAAAAAAAAATCAAAACAAGGGCCAGACTTTTTGTTGAAGAATTACGACATTCTTGTCACAGCCTCCCAACTAAAATAACATCTTACAGATTTTTGTGTATTGTGTTTTGCTTCATTCGGATAATTTGATCAGACACATGCAACTAACTTCTGTGTTTTCTTATCTTCTGAACATTGCCTTTGGTTCTGGGCTAATTGAGTGGGCAAGTGGCTTCTATTTCAAGATACCTTTTCTGGAAATAATTATTTAACTTACAGATATGGGCTAGAGTCAGTAAAAATGTATTTTCATAAAATAGGTTGATATTCATCTCTACCTGAAATAAAAAAACTAATAGAACTTGTTTTAATGTGAAAATGCAAAACGTTGCAAACCTTACCAATAAGCAAAGCAACTTCTGGGTAGGTACCAAAAAGACTGTCTGTCACAAGCTTTTATTTTCCTGTATACAGTAAGTGTTCCATATATTTTTACTGACTGAATGTGTGAATAAGTAAATGCAGTTATAGAAAGTATAACCTAACAAAAAGAGAAACATTGATTTGACTCTTGGAAAAATAAAGATTATATGTTTTTATAAAGTTACAGATCTGAGGTTCCTTATATTGAACTACTGGCACTTTATATCATATTTGCTTTTGACTATGTTTCCTTTTGAACTAGTGAGCTTTTATACTCCTCTAACATTGTAGTATAACAAGTTTTTATCTTACTTTTTCACTATGCTGTAAACCCCTGAAGACAAGGATTACCTTATTTTTCTTATTCACTGTGTGTGAATATTATTGATTTTGTTTCTTTTGGAGTCTTAAAATATTATGCTATTATGAATTGTAAGTTTACTTTAAAAAACCCTTAATAGTTAATTGAATATGGCCTTTACCCAGAAACTTGAGAATATAATGACAAGCTTGATGCTAGTGCCATGCTTCCCAGTATTTGTAATTAAAACAGTCAGAATTACCATAAGAGATCCTGACTAGAGATGTACTTGATTACTTACTGTTTGAAAAGAAATTTTTTAAAATGACATAAAGCTATCTTGCTCTATTTTTACTTCACCTTAGATAAAAAAGATTTGATGCCATTGGGAAAATATAATACAGGATCAACCATTATTCAGAATTTTAAATTTCAGGTCATTGTTAAATTATAGAAGAGTGGCGCCTGATTCAAATTGTAATTTTGATGGTTTCTTACATGACAGTTTCCTGAATTTGTTTTTAGGGAGTTTTTACAATAAAGAGGTTTTACAATAAAGATATAAAAATGTGCCTATTGAATATATCAATTTTGATGTTCTTTTTATTTTTTAATTTTTTTTGAGACGGAGTCTTGCTGTGTCACCCAGGATGGAGTGCAGTGGTGTGATCTCACCTCACTGCAACCTCCACCCCCGGGTTCAAGCGATTCTCTTGCTTCAGCCTCCTGAGTAGCTGGGATTACAGGCGCATGCCACCACACCTTGCTAATTCTTTTTTGTATTTTCATTAGAGGGGGGGTTTCACCATGTTAGTCAGGCTGGCCTTGAACTCCTCACCTCAAGTGATCCACCCACCTCGGCCTCCCAAATTGCTGGGATTACAGGCATGAGGCACTGCGCCCGGCCTGATGTTTATAATGGTCCAGGAAAAGTCCCGAACTGGTGAAACTGCATCACACCATGGTCTCAGAGATTAAAGGAGCAGCTTGTATTGTAAATGTTGTTCATAAAACATACAGCTATCAGGCTGTTTCCAAAAGGTCAGTAGATAGTGTGACCACCTATCACATACTAAAATATTTTCATGTTTAGACCTACTAACTGGAGTGTTATCCACTGCCCTACTTAGAAATTCAAGGTTGTGGTAGGAGGAATCTAAAGAAGCATGGAGTACAGTCAAGACCATGTCTTTTTCAAGAGCATTATTATTCAGGGATCACAGCATATACATTCTATAAAAATAAGGTATATATTCTGGAAGGTCTGTATAGTCCCTTCTTACTTCTTACTGTTCCTTATAAAAATTTTATTTCAGAAATGACTCCTTTAAAGGAAAAAAAAAAGAAACAATGATTTCTCTGAGACTTACTTTGACTTTTTAATGAACTTCCTACATTTAGACATTCAGATATTTAGACATTTAGAATCAACCCAAATGTCCATCAGTGATAGATTATATAAAGAAAATGTGGTACATATATACTATGGAATACTATGGAGCCATAAAAAGGAATGAGATCATGTTATTTTCAGGGACATAGACGGAGCTGGAAGGCATTACCGTCAGCAAACTATTGCAGGAACAGAAAACCAAACACTGAATGTTCTCACTTATAATTGGAGCTGAATGATGCAAATGCATGTGACATATGGTGGGGAACAACACATGCTAGGGCCTGTCAGGGCAAGGCAGGGGCAGGGGCAGGGGCAGGGGCAGGGGCAGGGGCAGGGGCAGGGGCAAGGAGAATATCAGGGAGAATAGCTAATAGATGCTCTGCGTAATACCTAGGTGATGGGTTGATCTGTACAGCAGACCACCATGGCACACGTTTAACTATGTAACAAACCTGCACATGTACCTCAGAACTTAAAATAAGTTGAAGAAAAAAATATAAAAAATATTATTATTTATTATAATTCATTTTCAGATTTTTTTCTTTACTTCTCCTAAAAGTACTCTCATTTGCATAAAGTGCAGTTTTAAAACTAGAGTAAATATCTCACAGATCTGGAATGCCTTCAAATATGTCTTTGAAAATAATACTGAAACAGGAAAAGTTCCCTTGTCTCTTTTTTGGTTCCATATGAACTTTAAAGTAGTTTTTTCCAATTCTGTGAAGAAAGTCATTGGTAGCTTCATGGGGATGGCATTGAATCTATAAATTACCTTGGGAAGTATGGCCATTTTCACGATATTGATTCCTCCTACCCATGAGCATGGAATGTTCTTCCATTTGTTTGTATCCTCTTTTATTTCATTGAGCAGTGGTTTGTAGTTCTCCTTAAAAAAGAGCCCACATTGCCAAGTCAATCCTAAGCCAAAAGAACAAAGCTGGAGGCATCATGCTACCTGACTTCAAACTATACTACAAGCCTACAGTAACCAAAAGAGCATGGTACTGGTACCAAAACAGAGATATAGACCAATGGAACAGAACAGAGCCCTCAGAAATAATGCCGCATATCTACAACTATCTGATATTTGACAAACCTGACAAAACAAGCAATGGGGAAAGGATTCCCTATTTAATAAATGGAGCTGGGAAAACTGGCTAGCCATATGCAGAAAGCTGAAACTGGATCCCTTCCTTACACCTTATACAAAAATTAATGCAAGATGGATTAAAGACTTACATGTTAGACCTAAAACCATAAAAACCCTAGAAGAAAACCTAGGCAATACCATTCAGGACACGGGCATGGGTAAGGACTTCATGTCTAAAATACCAAAAGCAACGGCAACAAAAGCCAAAATTGACAAATGGGATCTAATTAAACTAAAGAGCTTCTGCACAGCAAAAGAAACCACCATCAGAGTGAACAGGCAACCTACAGAATGGGAGAAAATTTTTGCAATGTACTCATCTGACAAAGGGCTAATATCCAGAATCTACAATGAACTCAAACAAATTTACAAGAAACAAACAAACAACCCCATCAAAAAGTGGGCAAAGGATATGAACAGACACTTCTCAAAAGAAGACATTTATGGAGCCAAAAGACACAAGAAAAAATGCTCATCATCACTGGCCATCAGAGAAATGCAAATCAAAATCACAATGAGATACCATCTCACACCAGTTAGAATGGCGATCATTAAAAAGTCAGGAAACAACAGGTGCTGGAGAGGATGTGGAGAAATAGGAACACTTTTACACTGTTGTGGGACTGTAAACTAGTTCAACCATTGTAGAAGTCAGTGTGGCAATTTCTCAGGGATCTAGAACTGGAAATACCATTTGACCCAGCCATCCCATTACTGGGTAGATACCCAAAAGAATATAAATCATGCTGCTATAAAGACACATGCACACGTATGTTTATTGTGGCACTATTCACAATAGCAAAGACTTGGAACCAACCCAAATGTCCAACAGTGATGGACTGGATTAAGAAAATGTGGCACATATACACCATGGAATACTATGCAGCCATAAAAAATGATGAGTTCATGTCCTTTGTAGGGACATGGATGAAGCTGGAAACCATCATTCTCAGCAAACTATCGCAAGGGCAAAAAACCAAACACCGCATGTCCTCACTTACAGGTGGGAATTGAACAATGAGAACACATGGACACAGGAAGGGGAACATCACACACTGGGGCCTGTTGTGGGGTGTGGGGAGGAGGGAGGGATAGCATTAGGAGATATACCTAATGCTAAATGACGAGTTACTGGGTGCAGCACACCAACATGGCACATGTATACATATGTAACAAACCTGCACATTGTGCACATGTACCCTAAAACTTCAAGTATAATTAAAAAAAAGTTCCCTTGTCCCCCTCGCAGGATGTGCGATGGGGGTGTGGCTTGCTTCTTCAGTGTCCCGCTTCTCAGACCTCTAGCAGAACATGCAAATGGGCAGGCTGTGGGGCTCCGACCCCATGGCAGTGTCTAGGGGTGAATGTTTACATCTCCTGAAGCCCCAGTGGGCATATGCTACCGTGTTCTCTTTTAGTTTTGCCGTCTATAGGTGGCTTTTGTTAACCAGCTCAATTAGACCATCTGCCTTGTCACAAGAACAGAGGGCTTTCTGTATCCCAGGTTCTTGCCTTGGTGTACCAGAAGAATCAGTTCACACCTGGGCTTGGAGAATGAGTGCAAGGTTTTAGTGAATGGAGGTAGCTCTCAGCAGACGGGAGAAGCCAGAAGGGGATGGAGTAGGAAGGTTTTCCCCTGGAGTTGGGCCTCTCAGCGGCCCAGGGTCTCCTCTGCCCCAGTCAAACTCTGTGTTGGTCTGCCAGTCGATGGCCTGCCAGCGTGCAGGTGTTCTCCTATGCTGGTGTGCTCCTCTGGACGTATAGCTGCTTGTGTGTTCCTCTTGACGTCCAGCAGCTTGTGTGTCGGCCTGCAAGGGTCTTGGGGATTTTATAGGCACAGGATAGGGGCACAGCAGGCCAGAGGAGGTCTTGGGAAATACAACATTTGGGCAGGAAAACAAAAACCCTTGTCCTCACCTAGGTCCATGGGCACAGGCCCCGGGTGTGGAGCCCTAGCCAGGGACCACGCCCTCCTCTACTCCACACTTCCCTTTCTCCCTTCTGTAGCATTTAAAAGGAACATGCCCTTCCCTTCCCAGCACTTCCCTTCTGTATCAATACTATTGAAACTAGTTTTTAAAAAATCTAGCTGGGTGATGCTATTGCACTAAAACACCACTACTACACCAGGGACAAGCACTAGCTACATTTTTTTTTTAATTGTAGAGATATTTCTCTCATAATTTAGTTTTGTTTATTTTACAGTTTCAAAAGCATAAACTCTAATTGGTAGGATAAAAACTTCTTTCTCTTTGATTGAGTACCTTGTAAATTATGACCAGTTTTTACATAAAAACCTCAAGGTCATTCTGTAGGGGAAAGATTGAGGACATATTTAGCAGCATGCATCCATTGATTTACTGGATTTCTCAAACCTGGCACACATCAACCATCTGGAGTGTAGAAGAAAACTCCATGAATTTGTTAAAAGTTTGCTGTGTTTCTCTCATGAAACATAAAGTCATAAAGAAATAGTTGCTGGTGGATAGTAAGAAAGGGAGTTGGGGTGAGCAAACCCAATATATAGTGATGACCAGCTTGCAAGTAGCCAAGTAGTTACTAGAAATTTGTGCTAGCATTAGTCCTACACCATTAATTTTATCCCTGTACACACTGGGAAATAAAGAAATGTAGAGCCATTGAATCCAGGGGTTCGTAGTAAACCCAAAATTGACCACCAGCTTCTGTCTGTTCAGTACATCATCTGTGCTGGCAATATGTGTCCCACAAAAAGCAAGATCAGAAAAGACCAGTGAAGATTCTGCACATATAGATTAGGGTGTTTCTTCTTCTTACTTAATACATAATAATCACATTTTTCAATAATACAAAAAAATGCTCCCACAGATCACAATTCCTAAGCATTTTCTTTCTATACTCTTTTTTTTTGGTGGGAAATTTTGTTGTCAGTCACTCATGTAACTACTTGATATTTATGCACAAGGACATGATCTGCATATTAGATTTATGTATCAGGTTTGCCAATTTGGCTGCCTGTATTATATAATACAGGATCAACCATTTATCCCTGCCAATTCATCCTAGTGTCTTAAAAATGGGATGGGTATTGAAAGGTAAAATAATCTATCAGAGCTTCCATTTATATTCATTTAAAAGAACTTAAGAAGTAAACTAAATCCCACTACTATAAAATGTATGAAGGAACACTGTCAAGCCCACTGCATGCATAATTACAGGTGAATACGTATCTCACACTGTGAGGTAAGTTGAAATAAGAGGGCAGAAACTCCCCAGCCTGGAGACAGGGGTAAAACCCACATTTGTTCACTTGATTTCAATATCTTGCATATATTACAGTTTACAGATGTTCTAGTAGATGGATTTATACATATATAAAATCAACAAATGATTTCAAAGATTTCATATAAAAAGACCTCACACTGAGGGTAGTACTAATAATGCAAAAACAAATAAATAAAAATAAAAGGGCAGATGGCACACTTCTCTTCCAAGCAATGTTTTTCATTAGCCAGGGTGTAGTCTAAAAATACTAACAATCAATTTTTTAGTTATGTATTTATTTTGAGACAGAGTCTCACTCTGTCACCCAGGCTGGAGTGCAGTGGCGCGATCTCGGCTCACTGCAACCTCCGTCTCCTGAGTTCAAGTGATTTTTCTCGTACCTCAGCCTCCTGGGTAGCTGGGATTACAGGCGTGTGCCACCACGCCCGGCTGATTTTTGTATGTTTAGTAGAGACAGGGGTTATGCCATGTTTGCCAGGCTGGTTTCGAACTCCTGGCCTCAAGCCAGTCACCCTAAAGTGCTGGGGTTACAGGCATGAGCCACTGCAACCGGCCCTAATCAATTTTACAACAACCGTTCAACATAAGTGGTTAAGATGCTTTGAAATATAGAGATTTATACCTATTATCATGATACATTTTTCTTTCCACAAATATATCTTGCATATTGTATCTGTTGTATATTTTTAACTTATATTTCTCAGATATAATAGTCATTAAATTAAGTGTAGAAATAACCTGAATTTAGAATCATACTTTTCAATGGCTGCATCACAATTTTAAACAAGTAATTTTAAAAGTTCTGAATATTTACTTACATTTAGCACACATATTATCCTATAAGTATAAATGCATATAATGCAAATATTTAAATATAATTATTCATTATTTTAGTGAAAGCAAAATATTTTAGTCCCATTAAAATTAACTATTTAAAATATTAAAATATTATTTATTATCTTATCTTTATCTCATTCTTTTCCATTTCTACTTAGTGCATATTTTTATAATGTACAAAATATTATAATAACATATATATCTAATTTATGAGAAATCTTCAGAAACCAGTCATTTATGCTAAAAAATTACGCTGATTGTGGTACATGGTCAAAAATTTTGGTGACAACCCTTATAACCTAACTCATTTACTTGAAGCGAATGCTGGATGTGTTCCATGCTGCAAGGGACCACTGAAGATCTCCTTCAGGTATAGTCAGTAGAACAGTGCTTCTCAAAGCATTCAAATTACTTGAGATATTGGTAAAATGAAGATTCAGTAGGTCTTGGGGGGTCTGAAGTTCTTCATTTATAGTAAGATTCCAAGTAACACTTATGCTACTGGTGTCCAGAGCCCACTTTGAGTGTCATGGCTGTAGAGTACATAGAGAAATATGGAGTGACTATTTCCCTCTCTGACATCTCACTGCACAGACAATCTGTGGCAGCCATGATTCCAGGCCTTGCTAATAGTTAAACATCCTTTAGTTTAGGTAATATGGAGTTTGATTGAATACGAGTTGGAGAAACACGAATTTACAGTCATGATAACAAATTACTTCCTCTAAGTAGTCAGTGGTTTTTCATTTAGTGACATTGGCATGACCTCAGCTGAAGGATTTAGGATCCTATGTGGAAGCAGCAGAGCACAGTTACAAGAGAAGAGAGCAAGGGTTGACCTGCTGGTAGGGTTTCCAGGTTGTTATTAGAAGAGACTGCTGTGGGACAGTATGCAGCAAGATCTCATTCAGGATATTTTAGCAGTGGAAAAGATTATTCCTTTTTGAGAAGACCATACTAGATGTGTATTTGATATAGTCAAGTGTATCAGGATACATTGAATCAGAAGGCAGCATAATAAGGTAGTCAAGATATTAGGCTCTGAAGCCGGATCTCCCGGTATGCAGCTTGATATTTGGCAAGTTACTGAGTTTCTCAATCCATAATAATTATAGCAATACCTACCTCGCAGGGTTGTTGTGACAATTAATGAGCAAATATATATGAAACACTTAGAAGAGGGCCTGACAAATAATCAGTAACTAATAAATATTAGCAGTTATTCTCTATATATTAGAAAAATGTCAGCTGGGCACAGTGGCTCACGCCTGTAATCCCAGCAATTTGGGAGGCCAAGGTGGGCAGATCACTTGAGGTCAGGAGTTTGAGACTAGCCTGGCCAACATGGTGAAACCCTGTCTATACTAAAAATACAATAATTAGCTGGGCATGGTGGCACGTGCCTGTAATCCCAGCTACTCGGGAGGCTGAGGCAGGAGAATCACTTGAACCTGGGAGGCAGTGAGCCGAGTTAGCACCACTGGACTCCAGCCTTGGTGACAGAGCAAGACTCCATTTAAAAAGAGAAATGAAAGAAAAAAAAGAAAAATGTATCCATGAATATATCTAGTTACTATTCTTCAAGAAAATAGAGAAATGATGTGGCCTCAGGTGACCAAAACATTGGGAGTATTTTATGAGTGGAGAACACTAACTAAACTCAAGGTCACATTACTGAGGCATAATATATTTTAGATTTGAGGATTTGTGATATATTTTATTAAATAATTAAGCAACCATGCTAACTGAGCAGCTAACATATGCACATCCACGTGTTAGAGCTTGAAGGAGCACAAAAACATATAAGAAATGGTAACTGTCCTTGAGGTATCAGACCTCAAACAGAATATATTCATGTATAACATAGTATTATATGTGAATTAAATGCCTGCCTTGGTTTGTGCCATTAAAATAAAATACTGGAGACTGAGTAATTTATAAAGAATGGAAATTTATTTCTGACAGTTATGAAGGCTGGGAAGTTCAATATCAAGGTGCCAGCAGGTTTAGTGTTTGTTGTTTGGTGAGGGCCCCATCTCTGCTCTAAGATGGCACCTGAGTGCTGCACCCTCCAGAGGGAGCAAACAGCATGTCTTCACATGGTGAAAGAAATGGAAGGGCATAAGAGCCAGTTAGTTCCCTCAGCCCTTGTATAACGACTTTAATCCATCTATGAGGCCAGAACCCTTATGGCCTAATCACTTCCTGAAGGTCCCACTTCTTAATACTGTTGCATTGAGAATTACGTTTCAACAGGAATTTTGGAGGGGACACAAACATTCAAACCATAGCAGTCTAAAATGGGTGATTATGCAGTATCTGTTCCAATTAATGAGCATTAATTGCATTAACTAATGCAATTAAAAATCTGGTCTTGAACCAGTCTCATTACTCCTATCCTTACAGCAAGAAAAAAGCTAAAAAAAAAAAAAAAACAAAAAAAACCTGAAAACCAACAACTTTTCTTGATTCACGAGAGAATTGAGGTTACCAAACAAAACAATTCCCTGCAAACTGGAGCAAGAGAAGGTTATTGAAAATCTTGGTGGACAACATGCAAGAACAAACAGTTAATGTAAGCAGAGAGATGGAAACTCTATGAAGAATCAAAGAAAATGCTAGAAATCAAAAACATTGTAACAAAAATGAGGAATGCCTTTGCTGGGCTCAGCACTGGACTGCATACAGCCAAGAAAAGAATAAGTGAGCTTGAGGATATGTCAATAGAAACTTCCTAAACTAAAACGCAAAGAGAAAAAATATTAGAGAAAACACCCACTAAACAGATCATTTTAAGAACTGGGTGGATGTGACAATTAGAAAGATGTAACATAGGGAAGAAAATGAGGAAGGAACAGAAGAAATATTTGAGGTTTTAATGGCTAAGAATTTTCCAAAATTAATGAAAGACACTAAACAACAGATCCAGGAAGCTTAGAGATAATCAAGTAATAAATATAAAACAAAATCTAGGCCGGGTGTGGTGGCTCACGCCCGTAATCCCAGCACTTTGGGAGGCCGAGGTGGGTGGATCATGAGGTCAGGAGATCAAGACCATCCTGGCTAACACGGTGAAACCCCATCTCTACTAAAAATACAAAAAATTAGCTGGGCGTGGTGGTGGGCGCCTGTAGTCCCAGCTACTCGGGAGGCTGAGGCAGGAGAATGGTGTGAACCCAGGAGGCAGAGCTTGCAGTGAGCCGAGATCACGCCACTGCACTCCAGCCTGGGTGACAGAGCGAGACTCCGTCTCAAAAACAAACAAACAAAAAAACCCCCAAAAAACAACAAAAAAAACCCTCCAAAATCTATACCTGAGCATATCCTATTCAAAAACAAACAAACAAAAAAAAGGGGCAGAGAGAAAATTTTGAAAGAAAGCAGAGGGGATAGGGAAAACAGCTTACCTATAAAGTGACAGGGATAAAAATTATGTTGGGCTGTTTTTTGTTTTGTTTTGTTTTGTTTTAGGGAATAAAGAGAGTTTCTAAAATATAATACAAACTGCACTTGTGAAAAATTAAAAGAGATAGAATAAGGAAGTCATGAGGTATTATTGTGCTAGTCTAGACATCAGTTTTGTTAAACCTCAAACGGTGAAAGAAAATGTTCAAATTTTACAAAGAGGGATATATAAATGTTGATAAATATTTTTTAATTTTATATATCTCTAAGGGTAGCCTCAGGAAGTCTCAGAAACAAATAGTGGATTCCGAAAAATCTAATATACAATATGTTCCCCAACCATTTGTCCCATTCTTCCTTTTTCCATCTTATTACTTCTATATCTGCAAAGCACATTTTGTTGCTTTTAGCATTTTTCAAAATTACCAATTTGGTCTTTAGACTTCTTGAGTCTACTTTAGATTAAAATTGCAGGCAGAACTGCACAACATCTATTTTTCTTTTTTCCCTCTCTCTTAAATAGATCATTCTTCACACTTGAAGGGGTAGAGTGTGCATGTAGGGCAGGGGTGACAATATGAGGGCAACTGCCTGTTTTTAAGTAGAATCAAAGTCCCAGATGAAGCCAAAATATTTTTCTAGTGCTGAAACCTTGCTGAAGCTGCATCTCTATAAACAGTCAGGGATCAAAGAAAATGGGAGAGGAATTCTCCTTCCTTGTGAATGATGGTTTAGTTGTTTGTTCAAGTAGAAGCCTTGAAAAGTCTTGTATGTGGTTATACATATTTGAGTTAGTCCTGTTTGAGACCCCTAAATAGGAGGCAAACACAAGGAGGATGCTAAGAGGTGTTTTTTGAGTTAAAATGGTGGCAGGGAAATCACCATTTAGAAAACTCTTCCTAACAATATGTACCATGTACTTCATTATCCCTGGCCTATGTCTATTTTCTGAATGGCTTGATGCAACATTCTATTTCATCTTGTTGACATTTCTGATGTTGCCAAATAAAGAGTTGTCTTTCCTCATACTAGCTTTCTCATCATTTAAAAATATTTTCCTCTTTTTATGCATATTATCTGGAATTCAGCATTTATAGTGTGATATGTTGTGAATATCAATTATCATCACTTTTTCACATTAATCTTTTCAGATTTCTTAAATAATCTACTCAATAATTATACACACTTTGATATACCTGGGATCCAATTATAACATAGAATTCCATTCTTTGCAATAAATTTATCTTGAATAGAATCTTCTAGATTTCCTCACATTACTACTGCTTTTATACTAGTATTTTTAGAATATTGAATTTTGTAAGAAAAATTAGTATTTCACTGCCCATTAAATATTATAAATTTTTAAATTACTTTCAAAGATATTAATTGACTTAAAAATCACTGTTTCTGGTCATAGTTAAGTGTTATGTTGGTGCAAAAGTAATTGCGGGTTTGCCATAAAACCACAATTACTTTTGCACCAACCTAATAAATTCTGCAGACAGAATTATAAGTATGTTAAGAATCCATCTGGGACTTGCAGCTGTTGAAACAGTTTACTTGGTAACAACTCCAAATCTGGGGTGGCCACAGATTTTGTTTACTGATTTTTTTTAACTTTTATTTTAAGTTCAGGGGTATATGTATAGCTTTGTTACATAGGTAAATGTGTCATGGGGGTTTGTTGTACAGATTATTTCATCACCTAGGTGTTAAGCCTAGTGCCCATTAATTATTTATCCTGATTCTCTCCCTCCCACCTTCCACCCTCCTGTAGGCCCCAGAGTGTGTTGTTCCCCTCTAGGTGTTCGTGTGTTCTCATCATTTTGCTGTCGTTCATGTGTTCTCATCATTTTGCTCCCACTTGTAAATGAGAGCATGCTGTATTTGTTTTTCTGTTTGGCTGCTTCTAAAGGCAGATAGTCCCAATCTTCTCTATTGGAAGAAAAATATATTTACCAAAATATAGTCTTACTTGTGAATGATCAAATTGCCTTAGGCCAATTTACAATATTATTAGCAACATAAAAGTGTATTTCCAATATAAAATTTGCAGATAGATTTTAATAAGATAGCAAAATAATATAGCATGTTTGAGATAATTCATTTATATGTATTCATTCCTAAATCATTAAAATTCAGTTAAAAAATAATGCCAGAATATTTTGAGAGTATTTAAATGCTTTGATGTGAAAATTTTATGGTCCCAGAATGCAATTATATTAACCTCACCTTGGCATATATAGGAAAGGGGTTTGTATTAGGGGAAAAACAAAAACAAATCTTCCTCTTTCAGTACCAAACATGTAAAAACCCCAAAACAACTCAGATAGTTACCACAATCTGATGTATTGACAATAAAAATAATTTTAAAAATATTTATTTAGAACAAAGTATCATAATTTCTTGGGACATATAACCGATATTATAAATAGCATCTTGTTTGAGCCTATTTTTTGTTTCCTTGTGGACATGGTCATGTGTCTTCCGGGTTCACCCTCCAGGGAAGACTTGCCCCAGCTGCTGTGAGTGCTGTCAGTAGACAGCATTTGACTGTCTGGTTCTTCAGGGATTGCTCCACTGTCGAGAGCTGCTTCAGCCAAGATCACCTTCTCAGAGCAACCCACCTCCAGTGACTGAACGGAGGTTAGAATAGCCTAGCCATTTGGCTCAACAAGGACAATTCTGACAAGCAGCTTCAGCTTAGGAACTGTCTTTAGGGTTGTCTGGCATGCCTCATAGCACATAACTTACCATTTGACCAACCCTGCTTCCTTTCCCTCTCTTCCATAGGTATGGATCTCAAGGGGATTCTTTAATACACATTTGGCCCACTAAATACCATTTCAGAGGCTACTTCCCAGAAAATCCCTTGTGCCACTGTTTTTTTTTAATTAAATTTAATTTTTTATAATGACATAAATTGTATATATTTACAGTGTACAACATGATGTTTTGAAGTACGTATACATTGTGAAATAACTAAATCTAGCATATTCACATATGCATTACCTCACATATCATTTTTATGGTGAGAACACTTTACACCCACTTTCTTAGCATTTTTAAGAATACAATACATCATATACTACAGTTACCATGTTGTACAATAGGTCTCTTGAACTTATTCTTCCTGTCTAACTGAATTTTTGTATCCTTTGTCCAACCTCTCCCCAGAACAAGCCTTTGGTAACTACCATTCTTCTCTCTACTTCTATGAGATCAACACTTTTTTTTTTGTTTGTTTCCACATATGAGTGAGATCATGCAGTATTTGCTTGGCTTATTTCACTTAATATAATGTTCTCCATGTCATCCATGTTGCACAAATGACAGGGTTTCATTCTTTTCATGGCTGAATAGTATTCCTTTGTGTATATATACTATGTTTTCTTTACCCATTCATGTTTTCATGGGCACTTAGGTTTATCCCATGTCTTGGCTATTGTGAATAATGAATGCTGCATTGAATGTTGGAGTGTTGTTTGAGTTTGCTTGATTGGATCCCTTTTATGTCACATAATGTTCTCTGTATTTCCTGCAAATTGGTAGTTAGATTTAAAATTTAGTTTCAGGGTTGATTTATTTTTTTCAATACTACTTTATTAGTAGTGTTATACCATCATCTTTCAACATTAGAAACCATTGATAATCGTACCTTTATCCAGCATGTCATTATTATTGCTATTATAATTGTTTAGTACATTTCAAGGATATAATATGCTAAATACCACGTCCTTCTACTCATAAGACAAATGTAAAGCAGGGGAAATTTGATTTTGGTTGTTCTCCATCTTCTTTTCCATTAGACCATTAGGCACCCAGTGGCTTTTTGCCATGTGGAGTTTCACGCTTTGGTCCTATGCTGTCATGCCCTTTTATCGCACCTTAACTATTAAGGGTGATAGTAATTAATATTGTGCCCATTTATGGACTGGGTACTAGTAAAAAATAATGGCTCATGATTTTTTCTCCCAGAAGAAAATATCTAAATTGCTGACAGCCACATTTTGGGTCTTATTTCAAACTAGTAACACAAAGCTTTTTTTAAACAAATTTTTAAAGTCCTTTTTATATGGTCTTTTCTCAAGAAAATAAACACAATCTGGAACATTAATAAGTTACAGCATGTCTTCAAATAACATACTTTCATTTGTTTTGTTATAATATTGGTGAGAAAAAAATTGACAGTGGCTGATATGGTTTGGCTCTGTATCCCCAGCCAAATCTCATCTTGAATTGTAATCCCCACGGTCGAGGGAGACAAGTGATTGGATCATGGGGGGCGGTTTCCCCCACGCTGTTCTCGTGATAGTAAGTGAGTTCTCATGAGGTCTGATGGCTTTATAAATGGCAGTTTCCCCTACCCTCTTCTCACTTCCCTCCTGCCACCTTGTGAAGAAGGTGCCTGCTTCCCCTTTGCCTTCTGCCATGATTGTAAGTTTCCTGAGGCCTCCCCAGCTATATGGAATGGTGACTCAATTAAACCCCTTTCCTTTATAAGTCACCCAGTCTTGGGTATTTCTTTCTTTCTCTCTCTCTCTCTCTCTCAGTATTTATCCTTTGTGTTACAAACAATCCAATCATGCTATTTTAGTTATTTTAAAATGTACAATTAAATTGTGACTATAGTCACCCTGTTGTGATATCAAATACTAGGTCTTATTCATTCTTTGTATATTTTTTGTACCCATTAACCATGCCCACCTCCTCCCCACCTTCCTATTACCCTCCCAGTCTCTGGTAACCATTCTTCTACTCTATATCTCCATTGAGTTTGATTGTTTTGATTTTTATATCTATTTTTCTAAATTATGTCTTAGAGACTTATCTATGTTTTTTGACTGTAGCAAAATTAATTCCCTCTCATTGCAGTAAAGTATTCGTTGTATGCAAATATGACAACATTCTATAGTTGATGAATATTTGGGCTCTCCAGTTGGTAACTATTCCAAAAAGGCACTGCTAAGAACAATTCTGTTCACATTTTTAGTACATAGTAGACATCAAAAGAATTTTCCAAAGCTGCAGAAATTTACCCTCCCACCAACAATACATGATAGTTGCACATAAATACTGACAATGCTTGGTTTTATCAGTATTTTTAATATAGGTGTTTTTTCTGAATTTGTAATTGAAGGTTATACATAATTTTAACTTGCATTTTGCTA
Source organism: Homo sapiens (assembly GCF_000001405.40). Classification (NCBI taxonomy): domain Eukaryota; kingdom Metazoa; phylum Chordata; class Mammalia; order Primates; family Hominidae; genus Homo; species Homo sapiens. Next base: position 118,405,583 of record NC_000007.14, read on the forward strand.
AAGACTACTGAAGATTTGCACGTTTTCATTCCTGTCTATTATGCATAGAGCATCCTCTTTTATAAAGTGCCCATTCCAGTCCTTTGATCATTTTAAAAATTGTATTCTTTGTCTTTTTCTTACTGATTTGTAAGAATCCTTTACATATATAGGATATGAATCCTTAGTCAGATATAGTTAAAGCAAATTTCTTTTTCCACTTGTGGCTTGTCTTTTACTCTTTGAATGGTTATAATAAACAGAAGTCTTTAATTTTAGCAAAATCCAATTTATGGGTTATTTATTTTATAATTATTGCTTTTTATGTACTAGGAAGTCTTTGCATATCACAAACTCATGAGGATATTTAACCATGAAAGTTTCCAGAAGCTTTTTAAATCCTTCCCATTGAGTTCTGTAATTTATCTGGAATAGATATTTGTATATACTGTATGGTAGGGGTTTAGATTATTGTTTTCAGCATAGCTGTAGTACAATTGTTAATGCTTACAAAAAGCTTTTTTCTGCTATTTTATTTGGCTTTCATACTTATTCCTAATGGAAGAAAATATCTGGAAGCCGTGCCATAGGCTTAAGGCGTGCCATAGGCTTAAGTCATGACATAGGCTTAAGTGGAATTCCCATTGTAAACTGCTTGTATTTCTCTTTAAATGATGTAATGATCAGGCTGAATCTATTATTAAAACAGAATGATTTGTCTAGCTATGTACCATTTTTGTATATTTCTATATAATTACTTTTCTCAATCTCTTAAAAATACGATAGTTCTTTTAAAAGTTGATATTTTACTGATAAAATATCTCTTTCAGATGCACATTTCTGATATACACAAAGGACTTAAAATGAAAAGTATACTTCTATGTTAACATGATTATGTTAATATTATCTTGGTCCATGAATTAAAATTGAATCTCAGGAGAGGCAATACATTCTCCCACACTTCTAAAAAATAAAAACGTACTCTCATTTTTCTTAAAAATTTTCAGCCACTTTATCAGTAAAGAAAAAATTCATTTTGGATTTCAGCTGTAGGAAATTGGTTATATGGGGCAGCAATAGGCAAAATATTCTGTAAAATTAATTGTCATGCTGATAATAACTGTCAAAATATTGTTATAGACTGTCTATAGTACAGTCAACAGAAACACCACCATTGTAGAAATAATTGTAATCTCTCTATATTTTTGAGGAAATATAGTTAATTATTTTAAAGCTGGATATAGACAGAAAATGTACATTGTTTTTACATTCTCCTAACTTATTTAAAAGAAAATAACATTTATTTAGTTTGTATAACATACATTTAGTAATACCTCAATAGATATTTTGTATATAATACTTAGAAATTCTCCTGTTATACTTCTCATTTATTTTAGGTTAATAGCAGGTTATTAGGATTTTAACTTGGGTTTTGAAATATGACACATTTTAAGCATTTTATAATGGAAGAAACTCATTTACATAAATATATTTATATAGCTTGGTGGCCATGAAAATATGCTACTCAGATCTCTTACTGCTAGAGGCATAATGGACTGATGGCCTCTGTTGTTGGCACTCTTGTTCCTTCACTGTGCTCCTGCTAAAGCCAAGCACTCTGTGAGCTGCTCTCATTCCATGTCTGAGCACAACAGGGGTATTAAGGCATTTGCTATAAATTGTTTTCAGAAAAAGATAAAATCATGACTTCTATACGGATATAAAATAAAGTTAAAGATTTTATTAAACTTATCATGACAGAACCAGTTATTCCACTTACTGAAGTTTCTAAAGTATCAAATTCATAGAAGCAGAGAATAGAATTGTGGTTGTCAGGGGCTGAGGGGAAGGAGTGTATTGGTCCATTTTTACACTGCTAATAAAGGCATTCCCGAGACTGGGTAATTTATAAAGAAAAAGAGGTCTAATGGACTCACAGTTCCACACAGCTGGGGAGGCATCACAATCATGGTGGAAGATGAAGGAGAAGTAAAGGCACGTCTCACATGGCAGGAGGGAAGAGAGTATGTACAGGGGAACTGCCCTTTATAAAACCATCAGATCTGGTAAGACTTATTCACTATCATGAGAACAGCATGGGAAAACCCACCTTCATGATGTAATTACCTCCCACTGGGTCTCTCCCAAGACATGTGGAGATTATGGGAGCTACGATTCAAAATGAGATTTGGGTGGGGACATAGCCAAACCATATCAAGGGGAAATGGGGAATCATTGCTTAATGGGTATAAAGTTTTAGTTATACAAAATGAATAAAATCTAGATATCTGTTGTACAACATAGTACCTATAATTAACAATACAGTTAGCCCTCCCCATTTGTGGGTTCTGCATCCACAGACTCAATCAACTATGGATTTAAATTTTTTTAATTAAAATAATACAAAAATTAAAAATAATATAATAAAAATAATACAGTATAACAATTATTTACACAGTGTTTATATTGTGTTTGGTATTGTAAGGAATCTAGACATGATTTAAAGTACTGTCAGCCCCTGTATCCATGTGTTCTACATCCGTTGTTTCAACCAACCTCTGACAGAAAATATTTTAAAAAATTACATCTATGCTGAGCATGTGCAAACATTTTTCTTGTTATTATTCCCTGAAAATTACAGTACATCAACTATCTACATAGCATTTACACGGAATGAGGTATTACAAGTAATCTAGAGGTGATTTGAAATGCAGCCATGCATTGCTTAATGATAAGGATACATTCTGAGAAATGCATTGATAGGTGATTTCATCACTGTGAAAACACAGTGTGGTTACACAAACCTAGATGGTATAGTCTACTACATTCCTAGACTAGATAGTATAGCCTATTGCTACTAGGCTACAAACCTGTGCAGCATGTTAATGTAGTGAATACTGTAGGCACAATGGTATTTGTGTATCTAAACATATTTAAACATAGAAGAGTTATAATAAAAATACAGTATTATAATCTTATGGGACCACTGTATGTGGTCAGTAGAAATGTCATTGTGTGACATATGACTGTGTACAGGAGAATGTGCATAAGTTATATGCAAATATGATGCTTGTTTATATAAAGGGCTTAAGCACTCTTATATTTTGGTGTCTATGGTGGTCCTGGAATCAATCCCCTCAGGATACCGTGGGATGGCTGTATTGTATTTAGCACTTTAAAATATGTTGAGGATAGATTTCATGTCAAGTTTTCCCATCACAAGCAAAACAAAACACAAATGAATATAAGGAAATCTTGGCGATTATGGATATGTTTAGAGTCTTCATTGTGGTGGTGGATGTATGCATGAATATAAATGCAACAAAATGTATACATTAAATATGTGCAAATTTTTGTATAACAACTATACATCAACAAAGTTTAAAAAAGAAAAAAACTGCTTAACCAGATTTCACCTGCAGTACCTATCAATTTAGGCAAATTCCTGTCTTCTTGAGGTTGCTGAAATAATCCAAAGTCTCTGACCTGCTAGAAAGTGACCTTCCTTTGCTATCTGTAATGCCAGATCTTGTAAGACAGGTGCCAGGCCAGTTTTCCAGGGACAGTGTTATACACTTTCACTTCATAAAATTAATCTTAGTCCCTTAAAAGTGGTTGATGATCTGATAAACTAAGCACCATTCTCAAATACACCATCCAGGCAAGGCTTTGATTGCTTCACCAATTTTTCCAATTACCACAAAAAAGAAGAAATGTTTTTATTCAATATTTGTAAATTGCCATGAAAAGGAAAAATACTAAATTATAATTTCTGAATTCTGGGAAGCAGAAGAATCAGTGTGGTTAGGTAGGCAGAATGAGATATCATTTGCAAATATTTAATTTCAGTTTACAAAATCAAAGTATTCTAAATTGTTGTGAGTTATAGACAGCTTAAGACTGAAGAGAAAGGGCTTTCTTATATATCTAGAAAATAGATTGTTATAATAATACCAATAACATTCCAAACAAAACTGTGGTTGTTATCAGTTCATCAGGTCCTCTGTAATTTATTCTTTTTCCACTAGATCTCTGGTTAGCATGCTCATGAACCCTTCTGCTTTTTGACTAATAATTCATCACACCTGCAAGTCCTCTTTGCCATAGAAGGCCATAGAAGGTAACATTTGCAGGGTCTGGGGATTCAGATTTGGATACCTTTTGGGGGGTCATTTTTGAGCTTATGAGAACAAGAAAATAAGTCCATGAAAATTGAGTAAAATTTGCTATTGTCTTACAACATTTCGTAAATTCATATTCAGATATTGTAACCAAAGCAAATGAAATTCCTTCTGTTTTGGCTTTTATTGTCCTATCTTCTGGAACAAACTTACGTTTTTTGGACAGGTTGTAGGAAGTTGGCTGTATCAGAACTAATTTCATAATATTACTAGGATATTTTTTAACATGCAATGTATTCATTGTTGCTATCATCAAATAAATCAAATACACATTTAGAAATTATCAGTTTCAATATCAATTGTAAGATAATTATAATGCATCAAAAATGCACTTGAAGCCGGATGTGGTGGCTCACGCCTGTAATCCCAGCACTTTGGGAGGTGGAGGTGGGCAGATCACTTGAGCACAGGAGTTTGAGACCAGCCCAGGCAACATGGCAAAACGTTGTCTCTATAAAAAATACAAAAATATTAGCTTGGCATGGTGGCGTGCACCTGTAGTCCCAGCTACTGTGGGGGCTGAGGTGGGAGGATCGCTTTCTTAAGCCCTGGAGGTTGAGGCTGCAGAGACTATGATCACACCATTGTACTCCAACCTGGGTAACAGAGCAAGACCCTGTGCCTATCTCAATAAAAAAACAAAAAAAAAGAAAAAAAAAGAAAAAAGGAAAAAGAATAAAAAGAAAAGGCTTTGCACCTATTTCAAAATATTGGCTAATTGATGATATATACTTCTCTTTTCTTATTGATTGCTATTTCTTGAGATATTCTAACACCAGAAATTTGGACAACTTCTCAAATAATTGACAAAGGAAAAATGTGTTTTTGCCTTATAAAATTCTTTAGCTTATTTGCTAATTTATTATTCATTACTATTAAAAGTGCATGGTATAGTATGGTGGAAAAAACACACAAATTGAGGAGAGAAAACATTAGATCTAAGTTAATATCTTTGAAAACACCAACTTATTCTCAAAAGATATATGACTCTCCTTTATACATACAAGTTAAATGGGGACATGGTTTGTGAATTACTGAATCAAAAGAAAGTAGAAATTACTATAATTTTTCTTATAAGGTTTCAGTAAGAGAAAATTATTTTGAGGAGAAATTTTAGAATGATGGAAATATAAGGAAATTAGAAGACATGGTGATATAGATTCAAGATTAGACTTGGCCACCATGTTAGCTGTGTGACATGCAACAAGTCAACTAATTTTTTCAAGTCCGTGTGTGTGTGTGTGTGTGTGTGTGTGTGTGTGTTGTGTATGTGTTGTATACGTGTTTAAATCTACTTAATTAGTGGGGGCAGGGAGGGATCAACATGAAATCAAATGTGTCAGGAAGTGGCGATTCGTAGGAATTTAGGTTGCTCTAATAATTTTAAAAGGTTACAAAATAAAGTTACACTTCTTATGCAATCTCCCTTAATATTAAAGATGAGTATACTAAAACAGTGAGAATTTGTCTTTGTGTGCATACAGTCTTCCAGTCAGGATTCAAAACTGAAATTGTTTAGGTTTAAATTAATTGTTAAAATTTCCTCATTATAAATTATTTACATTTATCTTTTTAAGTTCTTCACAGTATTACATCTTTCCATCAGACAAGTGCTCAGAAGAATTACATAAACAGAAGTTTGAACCATTCTTAAAGACTTTGGATGGTTGACTCCTCAAGGCGGAGCCTAATTATTTTGCAAATGTGAAGACAAAATGAAAAGTTAGCATCTTTAATGGAGATATAAATTTGATGATGGTGGAGGAATCTTTTGCTATATTTCTGTAGTGTTGAAATGGTAATTATATAGTCTTGCCTTTAACAAAAATTGGCCTTTTTAGAACTTTAAGAGGCTTGACCTATTAACTATCTAGTTTTAATATGGAATAGAAAATATAACCCACAGAATCACTACTATGTTCCCATTAAATTAATTAACTTTTTAACCACTTTAGAACTTTAGAAGTTAAAATTTTGAAACCTTGGGCTTATTTCTTTGAGAGAACAAAAGGAACAGATGTGTGATTAAAAATTATTTTAAAAGTAATAATGGCAAAAATAATTGTCCTTAATGTAAAGCATCAGAGGGAATGTGACTGTAAAAACAGGCTTCATCTGGAACATGAAGGGGCAAAGCTCCATTTTTCCTTCCTGTCTGTGAACTCAATAGGTGTGATTTGCTTGGCCCTGCTATAGTGGCAAAGCCTCTATTTAAAAAAGTTCCAGGAACATTATGTTGGTCATCAAAATAAGCCTGGGTCTGGGCCTGGGCCTGGGGATTTAGCAAGCATGAACAGTTAATCCAAGTACCAGGAATAACAGTGAATTTAGAAGCATTCTTATTTTATGCAGGCTACCATAATTTCCTCCCTCCCTCCCTTCCTTTTTCCTTCATCTTTCTTTCTTCTTCCCTTTCTTCCCTTCAATGACCAAAAAGAGCCTAAGGATTGTGTGTGTGTGTGTGTGTGTGTGTGTGTGTGTATATCGTTGTCGTCGTCGTTTTCTTAAATAACAATCTTGGTTTTATATCAAAGTCAATTCAATAAAACAATGACAAAACACACAAGATGCAGCTCTGTAAAAGGTACAGACATCTTGCCAGAGCGTAGAAGGGGGGGAAGTTGAATGAAGGTATTGGTGTTAAACATGGTTCCTGTGTCATGTTAGGTAAAAACATTTTAATTTGTCCACTCCAGCATTATGTATGCCCTCACTGTATCTAAATGGGTCAGAGTCCTAAATTAGCTAAACATCTAGTGGCCCGTCTACATCTTTATTTATTTATTTATTTATTTATATTATACTTTAAGTTTTAGGGTACATGTGCACAACGTGCAGATTAGTTACATATGTATACGTGTGCCATGTTGGTGTGCTGCACCCATTAACTTGTCATTTAACATTAGGTATATCTCCAAATGCTATCCCTCCCCCCTCCCCCCTCCCCCCACCCCACAACAGGCCCCGGTGTGTGATGTTCCCCTTTCTGTGTCCATGTGTTCCCATTGTTCAATTTCCACCTATGAGTGAGAACGTGTGGTGTTTGGTTTTTTGTCCTTGCGATGGTTTGCTGAGAATGGTGGTTTCCAGCTTCATCCATGTCCCTGCAAAGGACATGAACTCATCATTTTTTATGGCTGCATAGTATTCCATGGTGTATATGTGCCACATTTTCTTAATCTAGTCCATCATTGTTGGACATTTGGGTTGGTTCCAAGTCTTTGCTATTGTGAATAGTGCCACAATAAACATACGTGTGCATGTGTCTTTATAGCAGCATGATTTATAAGCCTTTGGGTATATACCCAGTAATGGGATGGCTGGGTCAAATGGTATTTCTAGTTCTAGATCCCTGAGGAATGGCCACACTGACTTCCACAATGGTTGAACTAGTTTACAGTCCCACCAACAGTGTAAAAGTGTTCCTATTTCTCCACATCCTCTCCAGCACCTGTTGTTTCCTGACTTTTTAATGCTCGCCATTCTAACTGGTGTGAGATGGTATCTCATTGTGGTTTTGATTTGCATTTCTCTGATGGCCAGTGATGATGAGCATTTTTTCTTGTGTCTTTTGGCTCCATAAATGTCTTCTTTTGAGAAGTGTCTGTTCATATCCTTTGCCCACTTTTTGATGGGGTTGTTTGTTTGTTTCTTGTAAATTTGTTTGAGTTCATTGTAGATTCTGGATATTAGCCCTTTGTCAGATAAGTAGATTGCAAAAATTTTCTCCCATTCTGTAGGTTGCCTGTTCACTCTGATGGTAGTTTCTTTTGCTGTGCAGAATCTCTTTAGCTTAATTAGATCCCATTTGTCAATTTTGGCTTTTGTTGCCATTGCTTGTTTTTTCTTTCTTTTTTTTTTTTTTTTTTTTTTTTTGGTAACGGAGTCTTACTCTGTAACTCTTTCGCTCTGTCGCCCAGGCTGAAGTGCAGTTGTGCGATCTCAACTCACTGCAACCTCTGCCTCCTGGGTTCAAGCGATTCTCCTGCCTCAGTTTCCTGGTTGTATATTGCATAATAATTTATTTTGATGAGTTGGAAATTATGGATTTGTTACATATACACTACTGTTTATTAATAATTAGTAAACTGTAAAAACTTTGTTTACATTTGTGTTCTTAAAATATCTTTGTGGTTTATTGGAATGTGAATAAATTAAAAGATATCTTTGTGGTAGCTGACCACAGACCATTATAATTTACTTGGTATTTTTGTTTATTGTATTATATAGAAATGTATTTATTTGTTTATTGTATCTATACCACCTAGATATCAATTTGTAGAAATGTTAATCACAAATGTTAATCTTGACTAGTATAGTCAAGAGGAAAGAGGAACCAAATGCTAAAACTACTGGGGGCCGGAGAATTATTCCAATGGATTCCTTACACACTTAATCAGATATAAATCCACAACTTTATTTTTAAAAATGCAACAGATTAAATCAGTAAAATGTACTCTTTGAATTTAGAAATTTTCTTTGACAGAGAATCATCACCCAGTCATTCAGCTCTTTCATATAAATCTCCAGCTCTAAAGCGAATATTCTAACTGAAAATTCAACAGATTACTTGATTTTGCAGTAGAACCCTTTTCTGCTTCTTCTTATTTATTTATTTGAGGTAAAGTCTCACTCTGTCACCTGGCCTGGAATACAGTGGCGCAATCATGGCTCACTGCAACCTCGAACTCCAGGGCTCAGATGATCTCCCCACCTCAGCCTCCCGAGTAGCTGGGACTACAGGCACCTGCCACCAAACCTAGATAATTTTTGTGTTTTTGTAGAGATGGGATTTCATCATGTGGATCCAGGCTGGTCTCGAACTCCTGAGCTCAATCGATCTGCCCGCTTCCGCCCTCCAATGTGGTGGAATTACAGACGTGAGCCACTGTACCCAGCTCTGATTATTTAACTTTTAATTTCTGTTTTCTAGTTCTAAATTTGATTATAGAAAAGAGAGGAATAAATATATAAAGAATTATGTGATCAGAATTTTAGGCCTAATTATGTCATTGTCTCTTTGACATTGAGGAAATGGAGAGATTCGTATCTCTTTCCTTACTGAGGTTGGGTGACAAATACATAAGACATTATACTTGTGGGCTCTTTGAAGCCTGTAAAGCACTATAATAATGCCAGAAATTATTATTAAGAAAAAATACAGCATAATGGCTTTTATGTACTTAAAAAAATCACAAACAATATTATCTAGCTGTATTAAATTGAAAAGTATGAGTAATATTATAATGTCTCTAAATAACAGCAACAAAATTGCTTGTGACTTCTCAAACCCACACTAATATTCTGAATTGTGTAAATGATGACCATATTTTGCTTTATTCTGATCTGTAAACATTGATGCTAATTGCATTATTGGAATCTATTTATTCATTATACAAATATGCATAAAGTAGTAGTAAAGCAACATGCAAAAAGGCAATACTGCTTCATAATTAAGAATAAAAACATACATTTAGATGCATATATGTATATATAGATATGCATAAAACACACGTGTGTGTATATATAGTATATATGTATATATAAGGGAGAGTGAAATATGAATAATAAAGTGATAAAAATATGACAGAAAATACAGCATTGGTGTTTAAAGGAAAAGATAATTACTGTGATTGTCAATATTATTGGAATCCCAAGGCTGGTTTTCTAAGTTAAATAAAATTCAGAAAAATTATGTATAAATAAGCCATTTTAGTACTCGGCCAAATAAGAGATTCTGCAATTTGATCCCCTAAAGGGAGGAAATTAGTGATTTTAAATTTAACATAATTATTGACCTATTAATGTTTATGACTATTGCAATTTATTTTATATATTATTAAGTTTGCTGTTTCCTTTTCTATCATTTATTTCATCTTTGGACTAAATACCTTTTGGTATTTACTTATCTTCTATTGGTTTGTTAGTGATTAATTCTTTTCTATTTTTTAGTCATTATCCTAGTGCTCAATAGGCACAAATGACTAGTGTCTACCGTATTGGACAGGACAAAATAGAATATTTACATAATGCTGACAATTCTATTGAAAGTCACTGTGTCAGGTGCGGTGGCTCACGTCTGTAATCCTAGCACTTTGGGAGGCCGAGGCAGGTGGATCACGAGGTCAGGAGTTCGAGACCAGCCTGACCAACATGGTGAAATCCTGTCTCTACTAAAAATACAAAAATTAGCCAGGTGTGGTGGTGTGGCGTGTGCCTGTAATATCAGCTACTCAGGAGGCTAAGGCAGGAGAATCGCTTGAACCCAGGAGGCGGAAGTTGCAGCGAGCCAAGATTGCACCACTGTACTCCAGCCTGGGCTACAGAGTGAGACTGTGTCTCAAAAAAAGAAAAAAAAAAAAAAGAAAGTCACTGTGTCAGAGCCTTTTTAATGCTTTTTCCTACTTTCCCAAATTTTGTATTATTATTGTCTTGCATATTTGATTTACATATATTTAAACTCTACTAGATTTGATATTATTGCTTTTGTATAGTCAATGTTTATTTACATTTACCTACATATATGACTTTCCTATTGTCCTTTCTTCTTTTCTTTCTACATTGCCATAATTTATTTATAATACTTTTATTTTAACCTGAAGAATGCTCTTTAGTGTTAGTTTACTTCAGGAAAAAAAAGTAATGCATTATTTCATTGTTGATTGCCTGAAAATTTTTTTATTTCATCTTAAACTAGAAGAATATTTTGAAATAAATAGGGATGTATGTCCAGTGTTTTATTTCAATATTTTGAAAATGTTATTCCATTTTCCTGAGGCTTCTATATCTTATAAAATCAGTCACAACTCTGCTATTCCCTTAAGGGTAATATGCTTTCTTTGGCCGCTTGCGTTTTCTCTCTTGTCTATGTGCCTTAGTTTTACTCTGAAGTGCAAAAGGAAGAGAGTACATTTTTTCTGCCTGAGTTCCAAGCAAGATAAATCTGTTTTATCTGTGGTTCATATCTTATTTCAGTTTTGAAAATTGCAGCCTGATAGTTGCTCAAACTTTTTCGTTCTGTCCCTAACCCCTCTGAGGTACATTTGCGTGCATGCGCGCACACACACTCACACACACGCGTGCGCGATTTTATCACATATATCAATTATATTTTACAATCTTTCCTGCATATTTCATTCTCTTAGCATTCCATGATTCTGATTGGGCATTTTCTATTTATCTACCTTCTTCTAATTCTCTAATCTTCTTTTTTGCTCTGCCTATTGTGCCCGTTAAATCCACCTATTGACATCTTAATTTCAATATTTGCAATTTGCAATTTTAAATTCTAGAATTTCTTTTTGATTCCTTTTTAGAGGTTTCAATTCTCTAGTAAAATTGTCCATCTTTCTCTCTATTTATTTGAATATAGAAATCACAGGTATTCTAAAGGTCAACTGTGATATGCCCAGTAATTCGGTCATCTATGGTTCTTCTATTGTCTGAAAGACAGCTTCCAAGCACAATTGAACTCCCCATGTGCCTAGGGCTCTCAGAAATTCTAAACAGTCACATTAGCCCACACTTATTTTTAAAGAATATATTTTAATTTTACCTATTTTCCTCTTACCTACTTTTATGGCTCTCACCTCTTCTTGTGCAATGCCAAAGGTGAAATAGTTCACGTGCCTACTCACTCCTTGAAGGGGTTTACTGCCTTTGGAATTCATTTCATCTGGTTGACCCCTGACCTCATATCCCTGATGGGCTCAAGAAAAGTTATAGTTTTGTAGATTATTTTGATGTCGGCATATGAATGATATTCTCTCGTGACTTTCTAAATCTTTATTTTAACTTAAGGAAAATAATAGCATGTTAGCTGAATTTCTGTATTTCATCCCCAATTATATTATCTACTTATCAATGGCTATTGAAATAAAATCCACTAAATAATAACATTATTAATCATTACCAAAAAGCACAACAAATCAATGCCAATTATTAAAACATTAAATCTACATGTAAGAATATATAAAGAGAAATTGATGAAAACAACAGAGACCTGATACCAGTTAGCTTAGTGACCCTTTATGAATCACTTATCATTTCTTAATCTGTTTTTCAAATGTCAGTGTAAAAAATGTTAAGTCCAGAACCTAAGTTTCTCATCTCTTTATTTATTCTGCCACCTCCCTCCTTCCTCCCCAATGCATACACACGTAACCTGAACTCTAGTCTTACCAAACTACTATTTCCAGTTTTTATTTGTAAAACACTGTGATACATAAATATAATATGTATTTTGTTTGACGTTTTAAAATTGAATTGTATATTTTGTTTTATTCTTACTAGACACTGAAATACCTGGCCTGGGGGCTTTTACTTTTTCCTTGGGAACTTGATATTCTCAATGAGACAGTAAAATGAAAAGTTTGTTTGTAAACAAAATCTGCTTGCAAACTTGCTCACAGATGAGTACCTAAAATGCCTTACAAATCCCTCTGGATATTAGAGATGTACTAGTTAAAACTTGTGGGTCTCCATACTGACATATTTGAGAAGATATTTAAGTTGTTCTGCATTTATAATGGTGATTTCATGCATCCTAATCTCTTTACATAGGCAATATTTTATTCTCTTTCTCATTTTACAAATCTGCTCACATTAACATTCAGGTATTTCAAACTGTTTCATTTTTTGGATTTCCAATATACCTCTAGGGGTAAAGTAAATTAGAAGACCAAAGGTTAAGTACTTACATAGCAGCCAGAGAGGCCCAATGACTGTCTTCAAATGCTTTGCCTGAGGCATCTAATATTGTTATAAAAATGAATTCTTACATGAAAGAAAAAAACCCAAGGAAAACAGTATAAATTTTGCATTTCCTTGGCAGTTTTGGTAATGGATTTGATAATTTTGTCATCAAGTCATAAAGCTCCAATTATGACCAAGGTAGTAGAGCTGTTTTAAGATAACAAATAAAAGCTTCATTCACTCAGTGTGAAATCACTCAGTGTCCGCCCTCTTATGTCAATAACTAATTTAACACTAAAGATGGCAAGTAGGGGCAATTTATATAACTCAACACTGTGTAGACATCTAGCATGGAATTTTCATTGTAGCAATATCACTTGATAATGAAATGTATCAATGGAGTGCTCTTGTTATTAATTATATTTATGACATTTTTATAGAAGCAAAATGTAATCAGCAAACTCTGCAGGCTTGCAGCCTAACAAATGTTATGGTAATGTTCGGTGGATTAATTTGTTTTCATTCCAAATAGCAATAATAGAAATATCAATATTAACATATAAATTAAAATGACCTAAGTAATATTAATTCATACTACTAATTCACTCTAGCTAAATTCAGTGATAAAATTGGAATAATAATTATATGAAAATGAATTTAATGATATTCAACAGGTCACTTTAGTTATTATGCATAACTGTCTCACATATTACATTATTTTTATATATACAAATGCTAGGAGACTAAATATTTAATAATTACTGAAACTCACATCTGGATTAGAGCTAGAGATGAATTTTTTTAATATATGATTACAACATAAAGTTGTTTTTTTCCCCCTAATTTGCATGCCCTTTATTACTGAAATCCTGAAAGAAAACTTTCTGAGAAAAATGTAATGCAAAGAGAAAATCATCATCTATGTCTTTATCTGGAAATGTGGTTGCATTTATTCTAAGGAAATTCTAAAGAAATTTGAGTGTTTTATGCTTGATAAAATGATCTCATTTTGACCTTTTCTTTGATGAAGGAGCATTAGACTACCATGAGTGGTAAGATACATGTGGAAATAAAAACCTAGATAATCTTTGCCAAGTAGATTTAGTTTACATTAAATTTTATATCAAAGTAGTCTAGCAAATATTCATGAAAACATCTTGGTCATTGGATAAGGACACACACACACACACATACACACACACACACCGCTTACCTGAGTCAATCACTATCACTTATTGCTTTACTGTGTTCCCTGTATTCCGGTGCCCTGGCCCCCACATAAGCTGCAAACTCCTTTAATCCCTGTTGCAACAATGCAATTACAAGAATCTTTCATAAACTTTTTGGGGATGAAAGTACAAATTAGTGTTATATCCATAATAGCCAAGTAAATTGGCCATATTCTAATAATGACTTCTGTTCTTAAGAGTATTTATTCAGGATTTAATGAAAGTGTTAGTAAATGAAAATGTTTGCTAAGGGATATAGGGATGAAATCTTTATTCCAATTAACAACTTTATGATAAACACGAACTTGACTTGCAGTAACAGAAAACCTTTCAAATGCTTACGACTCTGAACATTTTATTTTTAACCAGGAATTTGTCATAGGGTGAGAACCAAAATCAAACAATAACAACTTTATATATGTAATAAACTTATTTATATATGTGTGCATATACTTATATATACATATAATTATATATATTTGATATGTTTGTACATACACATATATATAATTATGTATCATATACAATTTTGAATTTTTATAGCTTTTTGACTACTGAAAAATTAGAAAAGATCATGAGATAATTCCTGTAGAAAAAAATGTGTATTTAACAGACAGATGGGTGAAACTATCATAGATATGCGTGGGTGCACCACCCTTAGTATAAATTAAAATAGTCTGAGCCATAGCTAGAAATTGTCCATAGGAAGAATAATAATTTTGGATGAATAAACATTGTATTTTATTTTCAATGCAGATCATTATAAGAAAAGAACTTCTGCCTTCATTAGGATTATTTATTAATCTTGCTGAGATGTGTCACAAAATGTTGAAATCATTGAAATCGATCACTTAAAACATCAAAGAGTACTTTTAGTAACATTGTGAGAGAGTTTAGAAGGAAAGCATGGCAATGAAGCAAAACAATTAACGTTCAGTTTTGTATGTTTGTGTTTGTGTTTACAATCCCCGGCCTGGGTCTTTTATGAGGATGCTCTGGAAATAATTTGAACACTCTCCTCCGCTATTATTTCAATTAGAGTTTCTCACGGTCTAAGCGCTTGATTTTTGACAATTTATTTTTTGGATGACATGTATACCTGTGCTTACTATGAAAGCCTAGGGCTGCTGGTTTTAGCTCTTTAGGTATTGTGGTATTTCCTTACCCTAGGTGTACTCTTTTAAATATCATGTGGATTTAAGTATCATAGCAAATGGGACAAAGGAGGGAAATTTTACCTACAAGTTTCTCTCTTACTTCCTTTTTTTTAACTCATCAAGATTCACCCCGCAGGAAGGTAATTCTCTTGTACTTAGAGGTCCATCATCTGGCCTTTTTGTGGTCACTGAGAAAGCAGCATCCTATGCCATAGAGTGAAGTATTTAATGTGGATCTGGAAGAGGGAAGACCTGTAGCTAAGCAATGAAGAAAGCAAACAGCAGGCGTGTCTGTAGTTGTGGATCCCAGTGGTTGAATGGTAAAAGCTTCTTTGTGTAAATTCTCAATAGCCATTGGTTTATCAGACAGTAAGAATAAAACAGTAGAAGGAATTTGAAGTCATCTAGATGCATGCCTAATATACTACCAGATGGATGAAATATTGTGACTTGCTGTTGATTTAACTTGATTAATAGTGAGTTTAAATAT
Organism: Homo sapiens; assembly: GCF_000001405.40. Classification (NCBI taxonomy): domain Eukaryota; kingdom Metazoa; phylum Chordata; class Mammalia; order Primates; family Hominidae; genus Homo; species Homo sapiens. Next base: position 118,421,313 of record NC_000007.14, read on the forward strand.
TTTTCATGTATCTGTTGGGTGTTTGCACATTCTCTTCTGTTAATTTCTTCTTCAAAACTTTTGCCCATTTTGTCTTGAATTTTATTTTTAAAATATTTGTCATAAATAAATTCTAGATACTAAATTATTGCCTATTACATACATTACAATATATTCTCCTGTTTTTTGCTTACATTTTAACTTCCCTTAAGGTAGTTTTTATTGTACAAAAGTCATAAATATTAATGTAGGTAAACCTGTCTTTCTATCCGTCCATTCATCCATGTTTCTTTTGGAAATTTATTTTGAAAAGATCTTTCCAATTCTAACCTTCTAGACAAATCCTTCTCTATTATAGTGCTTCTGTTTTGGCAATAAAACTTTTTTTCATTTTACATGACAGTATAAATTATATATCTTTCCAATTTTAGTTTTTCCAAATAGTTCATCAAATAGTGTCTGCATGATGTATTGAATAGACTGTCCTTCCTCACTTATTTAAAATGGCATATGTATCACCTGTTGATGATCTATACATGTATAAATGTTTATTTGTTCTTTTTTGCTAAGTCTTTGGCTGTCCTTTTATATTTACTCTTTCACATGAATTTTAGAATTTCTGTTCTAAAATTTGTAATGTCTTTTACAATCCTATGGAAAATCTTGGTGGGGTTTTATTCAGAAATGCACTGAACTCATAGATTAATTTGAGAAATTAAGAATTGCTTTTATGTATGAATCTTACTTGGAATCTCAACTGTAAGACAGATACATTTGAAACAATATTAACTGAAGGAACTAAGTTACAAAAATTCATAGAGAATTCATGAATCATAGCTGGGAATTTCTAAAGCTAGTTATAAAAGGAGATGGCAAAACATATTTAATCTTTTATGTTTTGCTAACTGCAATTACTTAATTGACTTTTGCAAGGAGAGAAAGCAATGGAAAACTCAACTTGGAAAGAGATGAATCACTCTTTAGGCTTTAACTCCTGGATATACGGGTCTGGTCATTTGCTGACTGGATATCAAGATCCTCAAGGCAGAAAGTTTCTCAGCATCTTCTTTTTACTTCAAGAATAAGGTCTTTATTTCTGAGAAATGTGATACTTTTATTTTTTAGTTATTTAATTGTATTTATAGCATTTTAAGAGCCATACCTGTTAAAAGTCATTGAACTATGATTAAAATAACTGCAACTATGTGCATTGTAATTACCTTCAGAAGCATTTGACAATCTTACAAGCTGAAATTACAAACCGCATGAGACACCTCATTTATTTGCTGAGTGGCTATAGCCCCAGGACTCTAGACTTTCTGGGGATGTTAAAAATACTCTCTTGGGATAATAGAAATACTAGCGCACTGGGTCAGAGAAAAATATTGGTTTTATCTTTGATGTCTGGGTGCAAAACAAAAGGTGAACAATAGCAGATAAAGGGGTATAACCTGGTTTTATCAATATTGTTGCAAACTTTCTTCCTCATTTTTATTTTCTAGTTTGATTCCTGATCTCTAAAAGTCTATTTTCCGTCATAGGTGTAAATGTTACTTAATTCCTCCTCTCAGTGTAAATAATGCCTAATATTTGAGCAATCAAAGTGAGCTGCAAAAATGCATTATGTAGAAAATGGAAGGTGTTTATGCTTTAATCTTCCTTTAAAATATTTTTTTCTAGGACAACATAGTATGAGATTATGAGTAGGTGTTTAAGAACTGAGATAAAATTCATTACTTGTAATCCCCAATCTAACATTGAATGTGATGCATAGATTTTATCTAGAAAAATAAACCCTTACAAACATGCTGCATTTTTCGATATCACTGTTTTAAAGCAGGAGTTTCTAATTTGTCTAAGTATGAGGAAACATACTGAAAATGCATAAAAATGTGGTTTTACTTTTTAGCATTTTCATACCGTGAAAATATATCATGAAAAAGAACAAATGGAAGCATTGCAATATGTTAAAAATAACTTGCACATTATTAGTAAAAACATACATACACTTAACATTTATACATATATGTAAAATGTTATACCAGTGTACAGACAATGCTTGATAATCACTTGTATTAACAGGCCAGTTGAAATAAGCTCATGGCTCCCTCGGCATCTGAACCCCACACGTTGGGAACCATTGTTATAGGGGAGTTCTTTTTGTTTCCCTTCTGTCTTTCTCCTCCTCCCAGTAACCTTCTTTTAATTAGCTTTCCTTCATGATTATCAATAATTATTTTTTGGCATAGATTATAATACTTTTAAGAGGGTGTAATTTTTGTCCAAATAATTTTATAAAAAGTAATGAAGTCATTGAGCTGAAACACAACATATGAATTGTTAACATAGAACAATCATACCTGCTGAGGTAGTTATCCAAAGTCATTTGACAACCATCTCTTGTCTAAAAATGGTGTACAAATTAAAATATCAATTAAGTATTCACTAGGAATTATGAAAACAAAATCATCCATCTAAAGCTTTTCTATAAAACAAACATATGCTAATTATAAGTGTGTTCTGCAGAAGACAGTTAAATAATTTTACTTTCTGAATAATTGATGCCTTAGTGGAAACAGAACAAAACATGTTAAAGTTTTAATCAGCCACAGGTTTACTGTGCTTGTAATCTCAAGTTTCTAGTAGCAATGTGTTGTTTAAGCTAAGTGATGTAAGACATGTGCGTAATCATACTATGTGGTCATTTTTTCCCCCATTGAACAAGGTTTTTTTATTGTATGTTTGTGTTGCATTCAGAAGCTAATGAACTAGTCGGGATGATCAGTCACATGTAGGTACAACCATAACAAAGGTTATAAAATGATGAATTTAAAAATGGATGCACAGACACATTTCCACTCCTAAAAAAAGCAATCCTCATCAACTTCAGCCATTACAGATCATTTTTAAGAGTGGAGTATTAGGTAAAAATTGCTGCTTCAATAAACAAAGCTAAAAATATATTAAGTCTGAGTAAATTATTGAGAGAATACTGTGTGCCAGATACTCTACTAAATACAAGTGAAACCACCATAACTAAGAAATAAACTTTGCCCTCAAAAAGGTGCTAGGGTGAAAAGGTATATATGAAATAAAATCTTTACAAGAATTTTTGTTAATAGATATAATAGAGGTAGAGGCAAATTTAAATGGGATTTAGAAAGTGGAGAGAATAATGTTGTCAATGGAAGAGATGGTTAGAATGCCCCGTGGAAGTGTTAGCATGTGTCTTGAGGAGTGAGTGGAGTCTGCGAGTCAGATATAAATATAATTTATATTCCTGGAATGGAGTGCTTGACTGTGGGACTAGACAATTCTTGGAATAGTCTTTGAGACTCTGGATTGTTAGCTAAACATTCTTTATAATATAAACTATAAAGATTCAAAATTACTAACAATTATTTTATACCCCCAGATCATTTATCATTCTGGTTCTTACCTCTGTTTCTCTTCATGCACAGACACAAACAAAATAATTCACACAAGAGTAACTAAACAAAGTAAAACATGATTATTCCCAATTTGGTGAAGTTAATAAAAACTGGTCTGATATTAAGGCAAGAGTTAGCTTTTAAGGATGAAAATCCTTACCAATTAATTGTCTTCTTTGAATAAGAATTGGAGAGAGGATTTGTATCTGATGTCCCATATATGTCCATTATCCTTGTTTGTATCTTGCATTTCTCCATTTCTGAATTATCCACTTAAAAGAAAACTATCTCCAACACTATGAAAGGAAAGTCTTTTTTTGACCCTTTTACTCAAGTTTCACAAAAAAAATTGAGAGCAGGCCAGGGAACTTCACTTTTGGTTTCCTTCCACCTCTTCCTTCTAATTTCCAAGATATTGCAAGAAATAGTTCTTGTTTTATTAATACGGTTATTGTGAAGATTGAGATTAATCGTGATGCATTATTATGTAGAAAGCATACCCTGAAGATTAACTATTGTTGTGACACTTATCTTGAGTGGAGGGAAAAAAGTTTAGAAACCTAAAGTTCATGGCTTCATCATCCTTTCCCTGTGCATCCCTTTACATCAATTAAAGATAAACGATTGACCAGCTTTAGTGATATAATAGTATGTTATCAAGGAAACATTTCACTAGATAATTATTGTGTACATAAAAATGGAGTAGAGAAAATGGGAGAAATATGGAAAATGAGGGTATTAGGATGAGAAGCAGCAAAATACTTTGGAGATCTAGTCTAGTAGAAATATTTGTTGTGGTAGAGTGTATGTCAAATACAGAGAGAATAAATGAAAGAACTGTTGGCAAAAGACAGTTTATTTTGAAAATTTAACCTGAGTTTCTTCTCCAAAAGTGAGCAGTTTCAAGTGTGGATTATTATCAGAATATGCAGCCCAACTTTACATGGATTCATTCAAAAGTAATCTTTAAGCTATGCTGTTACTCAAATGCACTAAGTTAATAATGCAGTTAATTGAACAACATATATGGAGCGTTGCCTACACTTCAGGCATAGCTTAATCATTAGATACAGAAATATGAAAAAAGACAATATGTTTGCCCACATGGCACCAATAATAGTGTATATGATGCAGTTTAGGTAACAAAATAGTCATAATTAAGTGGGACAACTTATTTAAAATATTGTACAAGATACCATATGTTCCTATGAGAAGATGCAACTATTTTCACAGGAGTGGAACCTGGAAAGTTTAAAAGAGAAGTGATAAAAAATATAATCTTTTTTTGAGAAAATTAATTTTTTGAGAAAATTAAGATTAGTTCCTCAATTTAACTCTCCTTCAGAATTTTAAACGACTAACACTCTTTAGACTCATTTAAATGATTTTTTTTTAAGAGAGAGGAAAAAGGAATTTGTGTTTTTTTAAGGAATAAAATCATCTGATGAGGTTTTAAATTAAGTACACAAACTGATTAAGATTTAAATTATTTTAAACTAATATTTCTTCTATAATAATGATAAAGTATAATTCTTAATCAAACTTCCAGAAGTTTCTTATGATTTACTGGAAACAAAAGAAAACCAGACAAAATAAAGATGTCTCAAAATATTGTGCTGGTAAATTGCAAACTAGAGTTGGCACTAAATACTTTAGATTAATTTGTTTTCCTTGTTTATTCTGTAGCAATTCTGTTACTTTGGACAACAGTTGTTTTCTACATAACATTTTCCTATTTGAATGAGTTGTGAAAAATACATTTCCTAGTTGAAGAATCCTTGATGTGGGAAGAATTATTTCAAAAAATGAATGTTTATATTTAGCTCAGAAGATAGTGAATTGCTGAAAACTTTTATATTCCTTATATAAGATGCATAGAAGACAGAAAGAGTTGCAAATGTATTTATATTTAAAGTATATAAGCCTTCTTGATACACTAAACTTCAAGTGCCAAATGTTTCAAGTATGCTATTATAAATTCTTCCTTGATATATACATATATATAGCTTCACCAAGAATCAAGGAAGAATTTATAATATAATATATATTTATAATATATAACAATATATATTTATATATTATAATTATATTACATATATATTTTATAATATATATTACACATATATAATAAATATTATATTATAAATATATTGTGTTACAAATATTATAATATATTACATATATGATGTATATTATAAATATGTATTTTTTTATATATATATATTTTTAAGATGGAGTCTCATTCTGTCACCAGGCTGGAGTGCAGAGGTGCGATCTCGGCTCATTGTAACCTCCGCCTTCTGGGTTCAAGAGATTCTTCTGCCTCAGCCTCCCAAGAAGCTAGGACTACAGGTGCGTGCCACAATGACCAGCTAATTTTTTTTTATTTTTAGTGGAGACAGGGTTTCACCGTGTTGGCCAGGATGGTATCAATTTCTTGACCTCGTGATCCTCCCACCTCAGCCTCCCAAAGTGCTGGGATTATAGGCATGATCCACCATGCCCGGCCGGTAAAGCTATATTTTATAGGCAATCATGCTTGTATTATTTTGGTGGCTTTTCTTCTTCCTCTTTGTCCTCCTTATTCCTGCTCTTCATCTTCCTCTTCCTTCCCATCTTCTTTTATTTAAACAGAAAATGAGTTTACTTACTCTGCATCTAATAGCAATGAAATAGAACATACGTATGTGATCTCTCTATATACTAATAAATTACTAAAGACTCATAAGATATAGCAGAGTTGGCTCAATCATTCACATATTAAAGGAAATTTGGGTTCTCTTCAGTATTTGATTATTACAAATAAGGCTTATATGGACATAGTTTTCCTTTTTTGTAGCATAAATATTAAAAGGTGCCATTGCTGAGTCACAAAGGATATGTTTAGTTCTAAGAATTTTTTAAAAGGTTGATATTATTTTTATTGTTATTAGCTTCTTGCAATCATAAAATTGATCTGTTTTAGTTTCCTTTTGCTGTTGTAACAAATTATCACAAATTTAATGGCTTAAAACAATAACAATATATTATGTTACAGTCTGAAGTCTGAAATGGGTCTCAAGAAGCTAAAATCAAGATGTTAGTAGAGTTGTGTTCCTTCTGAAAACCCTAGGTGAGATTCAATTTCCTTCCTTTTCTGTCTTCTAGAAGGCTGCTCACTCATAGATCTCTTCTGTCTTCAACACGAGCTATCACATCACTTTGACCTCTGCTTCTGTCATTATATCTCTTTCCTTGACGCTGATGCTCCTGCCTCCCTTTTACGTGGATATAAATGCTTGTGATTCCATTGAGTCCCTCCTGGATATTCCATCATAGCCTTCCTATCTCAAGATCCTTGACTTAATTTCATCCATAGTCTAATCTACAAATATGTCCATCACAGATACAAATTGATAAATCACATCTTTTGCCGTGGAAGTTAACATACTCAGATTCTGGGAATTGGGACATGGACATCTTTGAGGCAGCATTATTCTACCTACTACATACCTATTAGTCAGTAATAATCTTACATTCAGAATTGAAATCCAAATATATTGATGTAATAGTTCTTTTCAAAAATTATATTTAAACTAATGAATTAGTTGTTGCAATTTTAATAAACATATAGAGTTAAATACAATATAATTTCTTTAAAGGGATAGAAATCATGAAGAGATAAGTTTACCTAAAGCAACATAAATACTTTCAAATTCTCTCTCCAAATCAAAGTATAAGAGAAATAATGTTCAGCAATGTTGTGTTTTACCCACATTTTTGAATACTTTCAGTATGGCATTAAGAAATTCAGATAGATTATATTACAACAATTTCTCTGCTTGTGAAACAAAGGCTATGCCTTGGTGATAAATTTTTCCTCATTTTTTGCACACACCATATCCCCTATTGATGAACATGGATTGGCATACCCAATTAAGACTATAATCAACTAAATATTACACAGAACAAAATTTTCCTCTTCATTTGCTTTAATTTATTCTAGTTGTAAATGCCATTGCCTTTCTTAACCACAGAATAAATCTCACTCTAGGCTCAATTACTACAGCTTAGAATTAGATGTGAGTTGTTTTATAATTATATCAATTTTGGAGTACCATTTTAATTATCATAACTTTTGTGAAGACATTGGATCTCAGAAAATGACATACGTGACTACATTTACATCCTCTCTGTAAAACTTAAAATTATATAAAACATTTTTTCATATTTCATTGATTTTACAATTTCAAAAAGTAAACACCTAAACAGATGTTTACTACATTTAATATAAAATCTATGCTGTGACATTAAACGTTTTCTTCCTTCAATAAAACTTATCTTTAAGAATTGTAGAATGCTCTAAATTATTTTCTTTTACTTTGCATAAGACTAAAAAATTTGATAACTTCTTGTCATTAATTTTTTCTGAAATATTCTTACTCTATACTGTTTTTTGAAGATATAGTAATTGTCTTTCCCTCAGTGTTCCTGGTGAGGAGTAAGTGAGATCATGTCTATAAAGGATTTAGCACTGCCTCTGGCATGTAGAAAACCATTGGTAACTCTTAGTGTGTGGCCTGCCTTTGATTAGATGATAAACTCTTGGGAGGCCGGCACCACAATTGTATTTTCCACAGTCATGTTGGAATGATGCAGAAACTAAATGAATCTGCAGCTACTTACTCATCCTGCCTCTGGGCAGGGTCATCTTAAAATTGTTCTTGCTGCCAAGCTTCCTATGTTCAAAGAGCCCTTGGGGAAGCAAGCTCCACGGCCCCCATTGATAATGCATTCCTCAAAGTTTTTCATAAACCCCCATCGTTGCTATTAAAATTCTATATGCCACTTACACATGTAGAAAATGATCCTCAAGTCCACTACCACATAGGTAATCACTGTGACACTGCAAGGGTATCTCATCTGGCGTTTTGCTGTGTGTGTGTGTGTGTTTTACAAAATCTGGGTCCTACTACATGTATGGTTTCTGTCCAGCTCTTTTCAGTGAAGAGATGAACTTCTGTATCATTAAATATTTTTGAGAACATGAAAAAAAGAGAAGTCTTATAAAAAGGAATCCAGGTTTAAAGAGGCTTGCATGTATCGTTTCAGTTAACATTATTATGAATTTACAAGTAAGTGTTACTTGATGTTATAGTTGGAAGTATAGTCACTCTACTTAATACTACATTAATCATACCAATGGATCAACTATGACTGTTATTAGTTCAGTTGTGCGTCCCCAAGTTTATATATTGAAGGCCTAACTCCCAGTATCATAGAATATGACCTTATTTGGAGGTAGAGTCTTTACAGAGGTAGTGAAATTAAAACGAAGTCATTAGGGTGTGCCCCAATCCAATATGACATGTGTTCTTATTAAAAGGAGAAATTTTGAAGCCAATCATGCACATAAGAAGAATGCCAGATGAAATTAAAGAAGCACTTAGGAAAATGCTTTTGCAAGCCAAGGAATTCCCAGGAGTGCTAGCAGACCACCAGCAGTTAGTGGGGAGGCATGAAACAGATTCTTCCTCCCAGCTCTCAGAAAGAACCAACCCTCTTGATACCTTGATCTTGCAGTTTCAATCTCCAGTATTGTGAGACAATGCATTTATTTGTTTAGGCCATTCAGTTTATGGTACTTTGCTATGATAGCCCAGGAAAACTAATACAAGAACTTTGTCTTTAAATATTGTATTCCATTGATATGTTGAACTATATTATGAAGTCTGAAGGAATATTTCTCTTTAGCATCAGTTTTAAGTGTACAATATATTGCATTTGAATAATTTACATTTTTGGTTTCAGAAAATGTCATTGAACAAGATTTTAACAAAAATTTATAGGCTGGGCAGAGTAACTGATTGAAAGGTAGACTTTTTAAACTTTAGTTTTAGGGGTGCATGCGCAAGTTTGTTATATAGGTAATTTGCATATCACAGAGGTTTGCTGTACAAATTATTTCATCACTCAGGAAATAAGCACAGTACCCAATAGGTAGGTTTTTAATCCCTACCTTCCTCTCACCTTCTACCCTCAAGTAGGCTGTGGTGTCTATTTTTCTCTTCCTGTTTTTGTGGGTATTCAAGATTAAGGTCCCACTTATCAGTGAGAACATGTGGTATTTGGTTTTCTGTTCCTGCATTAGTTCATTAGGATAATGACCTCCAGCTCCATCCATGTTGCTGCAAAGGACATGTTCTTATTATATTTTATGGTTGAGTAGTATTCCATGGTTTATATGTACACATTTTCTTTATCCAGTCTATTGTTGATGGGCATCCAGGTTGATTCCATGTCTTTCCTATTGTGAATAGTGCTGTGATGAACATTCATGTGCATGTGTCTTTATGATATAACAATTTACATTCCTTTGGGTAAATCCTCAATAATGGAATTGCTGGTTAAATGGTACTTCCATTTTAAGTTCTTTGAGAAAACTCCAGACTACTTTCCACAGTCACTGAATTAGTTTACATTTCCACCAGCAGCGTGTAAGCGTTCCCTTTTCTCTGCAACCTTGTAAACATCTGTTATATTTTGACTTTTTAATAATAGCCTTCCAACTGGCATAAGATGGTATCTCAGTGTAGCTTTATTTGTATTTCTTTAATGATTAGTGATATTGAACTTTTTTCATATACTTGTTGGCCACACGTAAGTCTTCTGAAAAGTGTCTGTTCATGTTCTTTGCCCACTTTTTAGTGGGATTGTTTGTTTGTTGTTTGTTAATTTAAGTTCCTTACAGATGATGGATATTAGGCCTTTGTCAGATGCATAGTTTGCAAATATTTTCTCCAATACTGTGGGTTGTCTGTTTACTCCATTGATAGTTTTTTTTGCTGTACAGAATCACTTTGATTTGATTAGGTCTCACTTGTCAATTTTTGTTTTTGCTGCAGTTGCTTTTGGTGTCTTCTCATGAAATCTTTGCCAAGGCCCATGTCCAGAATGGTGTTTCCTAGGTTATCTTTCAAGGTTTTTATAGTTTTAGGTTTCACACTTAAGTCTTGATATGGTTTGGATTTGCGTCCCCTCCCAAATCTCATGTCAAATTATAATCCCCAGTGTTGGAGAACAGGCCTGGTGGGAGGTGCTTGGCTAATGGGGGCAGATTTCCCCCTTGCTGTTCTCATGATTGTGAGTGAGTTCTCACAATATCTGGTTGTTTGGGAGTGTGCAGCACCTCCCACTTCATTATCTCTTCATCCTGTTCTAGCCATGTAGGATGTGCCTCCTTCTTCTTTGCCTTTTGGCATGATTGTAAGTTTCCTGAGGACTCCACAACCATGCTGCCTGTACAGCCTGCAGAACTGTAAGTCAATTAAACCTCTTTTCTTTATAAATTAACCAGTCTCAGCTAGTTTCTTATAGCAATGTGAGAATGGTGTGGAAGCAGCTTTGCAAGGGGCTAATGGGCAGAGGTTGGAACAGTTTGGAGAGCTCAGAAGATGACAGGAAGATGAGAGAAAGTTTTGAACTTTCTAGAGACTTGTTAAATTCTTGGGAACAAAATGCTGATAGTGATATGGATAATGAAGTCCAGGTTGAGGTGGTTTCAGATGGAGATGCGAAAACTTATTGGGAACTGGAGCAAAGGTCACTTTTGTTATGCGTTAGCAAAGAGTTTGGAGGCATTTTGCCTCTTCCCTGGAGATCTGTGGAAGTTTGAACTTGAAAGAGATGATTTAGAGTATTTGGCAGAAGGAATTTCTAAACAGCAAAGCACTCAAGATGTGGTCTGGCTGCTTCTAACACAGTAAGTTATATGCATGAGCAAAGAGATAATCTGAAACTGGAACTTTTTTTATATTTAAAAGGAAAGCAGAGCATAACAGTTAAGAAAATTTGCAGCCTGACAATGTAGTAGAAAAGAAAAACCCGTTTTCTGGGGATGAATTGAAGCTGGTTTCAGAAATTTGCATAAGTAATGAGGAGCTGAATGTCAGTAGCCAAAACAATGGGGAAAATGCCTCAAAGTCATTTCAGAGAACTTCATGGCAGCATCTCCCAGCACAGGCCTGGAGGCCTAGAATGGAAAGAATGGATTTGTGGGCAGAGGCGAGGGCCCTGCTTCCCTGCATGAGCTCAGGACACTGCTTCCTGCATCCCAGCTGCTCCAGCTCCAGCTGTAACTAAATGGGCCTCAGATATGTCTCAGGCCACTGCTCCAGAGGGTGTAAGCTGTATGCCTTGGTGGCTTCCATGTGGTGTTAAGCCTGTGGCTATGCAGAGGGCAAGAGTTGAGGCATGGGACCCTCTGTCGAGATTTCAGAAGATGTATGGCAATTCCTGAATATCTAAGCAGAAGTTTGCTGCTGAGGTGAAGCCCTAATGGAACCTCTACTAGGGCAGTGTGGAGAGGAAATATGGGGTTGAAACTCCCACACAGAGTTCCCTCTGGGGAATTGCCTAGAGGAGCTGTGAGAAGAGGGCCACCATCCTCCAGACCCCAGAATGGTAGATCCACCAGCAGCTTGCACTGTGTTCCTGGAAAAGCCACATGCACTCAACACCAGCCCATGAAAACAGCCGAGGGGGCTGTACCTGCAGAGTCACAGGTGTGGAGCTGCCCAATGCCTTGAAAGCCTGCCCCTTGAATCAGTGTGGACTGGATATGAGACATGGAGTCAAAGGGGATTATTTTGGAGCTTTAAGGTTTAATGATTGCCCTGCTGGGTTTTGGACTTGCATGGGGTCTTTAGCCCCTTTGTTTTGGCTGATTTCTCCCTTTTGGGACAGGGATATTGACACAGTGACTGTACCCTCATTGTATCTTGGAAGTAACTAACTTTTTTTTTTTTATTTTACAGGCTCATAGGCAGAAGGAACTTGCCTTGTTTAAGATGAGACTTTGGACTCTGGACTTTTGAGTTAATTCTGAAATGAGTTAAGACTTGGGGGACTGTTGAGAAGGGATAGTTGTATTTTGCAATGTGAGAAGGACATGAGATTGGGAGGGGCCAAGGGTAGAATGATATGGTTTGGATTTGTGTCCCTGCCCAAATATCATGTCAAATTTTAATACCCAGTGTTGGAGGAAGGGCCTGGTGGGAAGTGATTGGATCATTGGGGTGGACTTCTCCCTTGCTGTTCTTGTGATAGTGAGTTCTCATGAGATCTGGTTGTTTGAAAGTGTGTGGCATCTCCCCCTTTACTCACTCTTCCTCTTGCTCCAGCCATGTAGGACATGCCTTCTTCCTCTTCTTCTTCCACCATGGTTGTAAGTTTCTTGAGGCCTCCACAGCCATGCTTCCTGTACAGCCTGTGGAACTGTGAGTCAATTAAACCTCTTTTTTTATTATAAGTTTCCAAGTCTCAGATAGTTCTTTATAGCAATGTGAAAATGGACTAATAGAAGTCTTTAATCCATCTCGAGTTGATTTTTGTATATGGCATAAGAAAGGGGTCCTGTTTCAATCTTTTGCATATGGCTAGCGAGTTTTCCCTGCATCATTTATTGAATCCTTTTCCCATTGCTTGTTATTGTAATCTTTGTCAAAGATCAGATGGTTGTAGATGTATAGCTTTATTTCTAGGTTCTATAACCTGTTCTATTGGTTTATGTGTCTATTTTGTACCAGTACCATGCTCTTTTGGACACTAATATTGTAGCCTTGTAGTTTGAAGTTGGGTAAGGTGATGCTTCCAGCTTTGTTCTTTTTGCTCAGAATTGCCTTGGCTATTTGGCCTCCTTTTTGTTCCATCTGAATTTTAGAATAGTTTTTTTTTTTTCTAATTCTGTGAAGAATGTCATTGGTAGTTTGGGAAGAATAGCACTGAATGTGTAATTTGCTTGGAACCATATGGCCATTTTGACAATATTGATTATTCTTATCCATGAACATGGAATACTTCTCCATTTGTCTGTGTCATCTCTGATTTCTTTCAGCAGTATTTTGTATTTCGTGTAGAGATCTTTCTCCTCCCTGGTTAGCTGTATTCCTAGATATTTTATTTTTGTGTGGCTATTGCAAGTGGGGTTGCATTACTGATTTGGCACCCAACTGGGATGTTGTTGGTGTATAAAATTTTACTGATTTTCATACATTGATATCCTGAAACTTTGCTGAACTTTTTTTTATCAGACCTGGGAGCTTTTCAGCAGAGACTATGGGGGTTTCTAGACATAGAATGATATCATCTGCAAAGAGATAGTTTTACTTCATCTCTTTTTTATTTAGATGCCTTTCATTTTTTTCTCTCCCCTGATTGCTATGGCTAGAACTTTCAATACTATGTTGAATAGGAGTGGTAAAAGTGACCACCATTGTCTTGTTCTGGTTCTCAAGGGAAATGCTTCCAGCTTTTGCCCATTCAGTTTGATGTTGCCTGTGGGTTTGTCATAGAATGCTCTTATTATTTTGAGGTATGTTCTAAAGAGTAGAACATAATCATACTAATTACATAGTCATATTAATCTGACATCAATCCCAAAGATAAACTGGCATGGGTAGCAGTCATACACCTCCTGGGTATAAGACTAGAGCTCCCGGGTCAGGGGCGGATGACCATCTTTGCTGATTCACAGCCTCAGCCATTGTGGCCTTAGGGCTCTAGGGAGTCCAAGGCAACTAGATCCTGGAGTGGCACAGCTGCTGCATACTGCAGCAGCCCTATGGAAAAGTGTTAAGTCTGTTACATGGGTGCCTGTTTCCATACCTCCTCAAATGGGCAGGTCCTCTTGTCCTGGATCTCCAGCAACTCCCTGCTGGGAATATCGAGCCAGTAGCAGCTCTGCAACTCCTTGGACAGAGCTCTCAATGGGAGGGATAGGTTGGCATCTTTGCTGTCTTGCTGCCTTCACCTTTCCTGTCTCCAGGCTTGGGAGAGTCTGTGTGGACCGAGGGCTGGTCTGGACCCCCAGCACAGAGGAACTACCTCACAGAAAAGTGGCCAGACTGTTCTCCATGGCCAGACTGTTCTCCATGCAGATCCTGGTCCTCACCTCTCCTAACTGGGTAGGGCTGCTCAACCTGGAACTCTAGCACAACCATTCTTACCCCACACGATCACTGCAATCAGAGACAGCCCAGCATTTCTCCAAGGAGGAAACCCCAAAGTCAACCCACAACACCTCTGCCCCTACAGTGGTGCGGCCCTACAGCCCTAACAGCCCAGAGAAGGAACAAAGAGCCTAGTTATTACACTGGCACTTTCAGCACGCTGCAGCCACCATACGGAGAGGAGTCCAGCCCCTCTTCCCTGGGAACCCTCACCCTCACTTTTCACCAGGCAAGGCCCCTGGCTCATGAATGCAGAACAGTTGCCCCATCCATGGCTAAGCATACCCACTGGTAGTGGACTGGAGTTTCCCTGGGGAGAGACTCCTAGATACTTACAACAGCCCCTCTGCCACTGCCACAGTAATAGTTCTATTTCTGCTGCCCTTGGTTTGAGGAAGAAACAAAGAGCCTGAGAGCTACACTCAAGCTTACAGCATGCCACAGCCACCATACAGAGAAGAGGCCAATCTCTTTTGCTTATGAGCCTTCAACACCCTGTTCCCTAACAACTGTAACCCCAAGGTCATGCCAGGAGTACAGCCACCCCAGCCCACTGGCTGAACACCCTCACTAACAGCAGCTCCACATTTCTTGGAGGTGGAGCCCCCAAGGGTAACTAAAAGCCTCTGCCACTCCTTCTGCAGTGGAACTGCCCTTGTCACTATCAGACTAGTGAATGAACAAAGACCCTAAGTGCCTTATCTGCACCTCCAACAAACTGCAGTCAACCCAAGGAGAGGAGAGGTTTGTCTCCCATAGGTGCCCCTCACTCTGTGCTTGTCACCAGACAGGAAATCCTGGACTTTGGCTCACAGAATAAACGCTCATCCTGGGCTGATTGTGAAGTGGCATCGTTGTCTGGGGTCTACTCAAGATTTGTTGTCTCTGAGCTATAGAAAACTAGGATACAGACACAAGAGTGATGTTCAGAGTGGAAGTCTAATAGGTGAGAAAAGGAGAGAAGCTCTCGCTACAGAGAAGGGTCCTAGAGAAATGGGTTGCCACTTCTGTGATGAAATGCAGCGGGTTTGATAGATGAGCCTGAGGAGCTGGTGTCTGATTTACATAGAATATGCAAAATTGGTTGGACCAGGTGTGCTATTTGCATAGGGTGTGAAAATCTGGCCGCTCCCACCTAATCTTTTATTATGCAGATGGGTTCTCTGCCTTGCTGGCATCATGTTGCCTGTTTCTTTACTGTACACGTGGTGAAAAAGAGAAGGGAAGATGGAGCCTCCATGTTGAACATACCTGGCCCCCAGGTAGCCATCTTCTATTGGCACAGCTGCTGGCATTCACCTGTGCAATCTTCCAGCTTGCTTATCTATGTTTGCAACTCGATTTTTCAGGCTGCTCTTTGTTAGAAAAGAAATGATTTTTTAAGCTGCTTTTTGTTAAAAGGGAAATTCTGCTGAGACTCTTTTACCTTCACTATCTGCCTAAATAATTTCTTTCTATCTCCTGTATCAATTGCATTGAGCAAGTGCTGACCTGCATCTCCTTGTGGTGGAGCCCCCAGTAGACAAGCAAAAGACTTTTGGCCACAACCACTACTAAGGTCCCTTCCTTTGCTGCCTTCAAGTTGGGGAAGGAAAATACACCTTGAGATCACCCCAGAGTTGAAGTGGGCAGCCCAGGAGTGCCAAGCTGTGATCTACAGCTAGCACTACAGTGGGAGAGGAACCCATACTTTCAGAGCATTGAGAGGGACCAAAGTTGCAACTCTGAGGAAATCTAGGGGAGCCACATGACCAAGCAAGATCAACTGACCAGTACACCTAAGCGCCACCTACTGTATCACATCCCAAAGCTGTAACACCAAAAATACCTTGCTAACATGAAACCAAAGACAAGAAGTTAGCTTCAAATAAAGACCCTGCACAAAGCCTTGCCCTATGAAAACATCTAGAAAATAAGTCTATTTACTGTACTCAGTGTGCGCTGCAGTTAAAGGAACACCCACATGCAGAGATGAGAAAAAAACCAATGCAAGAACTCCAATAACTCAAATGACCACAGTGTCGCATGTCCTCCAAATGATCGCAGCAGTTCTTCAACAGGGTTCTTAACCAGGCTGACCTGACTGAAATGACAGAGATAGAATTCAGAATATGGATGTAAATGAAGATCATCAAAATTCAGGAGAATGGTAAAAAGTGATCCAAGAAAACTAAGAATCACAATTAAATAATACAGGAGCCGAAAGATAAAACAGCTGTTATAAAAAAGAACCGAACATATCTGACAGAGCTGAAAAACACACTGCAAGAATTTCACAATGCAATCACAAGTATTAACAGCAGAATAGACGAAGCAGAGGAAAGAATTTCAGAACTTGAAGATTGGCTTTTTGTAATAAGACATTCAGACAAAAATAAAGAAAATGAATGAAAAGGAAGGAACAAAACCTTGAGAAATATGGGGTTATGTGAAGAGGCCAAAATCTACAAATCACTGGCATCCCTCAAAGGGATGGGGAGAAAACAAACAACTTGGAATACCTATTTAAAGATATTTTCATGAAAAATTCCCCAACCTTGCTACAGAAGCCAACAGTCAAATTCAGAAAATACAGAGAACCCCTACCAGGTTCTACACAAGCTCATTATCCTCAAGACACGTAATCATTGGATTTTCCAAGCTTGAAATGAATGAAAGAAGTTAAAGGCAGCTAGAGAGAAAGGGCAGGTCACCTATAAGGGGAACCCCATCAGGCTAATAGCAGACCTCTCAGCTCAAACCCTGCAAGTCAGAAGAAATTGGCGGTCTCTATTCAACATTTTAAAGAAAAAAGTCTTCAACCAACAATTTCATATCCAACCAAACTAAGATTTCCAAGTAAAAAAGAAGTAAGATCATTTTCAGATAAGCAAATGTTGAGGGAGTTAGTTACCTCCAGACTTTCCTTATAAGAGATCTTGAAAGGAGCACTAAATAAAGGAAAAACTGTTACCAGCTAATACAACACACTTAAATACACAGACCAGTGACACTGTAAAGCAATCACACAAACAAGCCAGCTTAATAACCTGTAACACACAGCATAATAACCTGTAACAACACAATAACCAGTAATAACCTGTAACAACACAATGACAGGATAAAATCCACATATATTAATACTAATGTTGAATGTAAATGGGATAAATCCTTCGTTTAAAAGACACAGAGTGGCAAGCTTGGATAAAAAAGCAAGACCCAATGGCAAGATGTCTTCCAGAGACTGTCTCACACATAATGACACCCATCAGCTAAAAATAAAGGGATGCAGGAAAATCTACCAAGCAAATGGAAATCAGAAAAAAGCAGGGGTTGCAATTCTATTTTCAGATAGAACAGACTCTAAAAAAACAATGAGCGAGAAAGACAAAGAAGAGCATTACATAATGGTAAAAGGTTCAATTCAACAAGAAGACTTAACTATCCTAAATATATTTGCACCCAATACAAGAGTACCCAGATTCATAAAGCAACTTTTAGAGGCCCACAAAGAGATTTAGACTCCCACAGAATAATAGTAGGAGACTTCAACACTCCACTAGCAGTATTAGAGAGATCGAGGCAGAAAATTAACAAACATATTTGCGACCTGAACTCAACATTAGACCAAATGGATCTGGTAGATATCTACAGAACTCTTCACCCCTAAACAACAGAATATAAATTCCTCACATCACCACATGGAATTTACTCTAAAATCTACCACATATGTCCATAAACTGGACATAAAACAATCCTCAACAAATGCGAAAGAATTGAAATTATACCAGGTACACACAGGGACCACAGCACAATATAAACATAAGTCAAGATTTTAAAAAAATCACTTAAAACTATGCGATTACATTGGCAATAAGCTCCTGAATAACTTTTGGGAAAGGATGAAATTCAGGCAGAAATTAAAAAGATTTTTGAAAATAATGAGAACAAAATTACAACATACCAGAATCTCTGGGACATAGCTAACACAGCGCTGAGGGAAATTCGTAGCACTAAATGCCCACATCATAAAATTAGAAAAATTTCAAGTTAACAACCTAACTGAACTTGTTGTTTCAAGTGAACAACACAACTGAAAGAATTAGAGAAGCAAGAACAAATCAACCCCAAGGCTAGCACAATACAATAAATAAACAAAATCAGAGTTGAACTGAAGGAAGCCAAAATATGAAAAACCATTTAAAAGATCAACAAATCCAGGAGTTGATTCTTTTTAAATAATAACGTAGATAAGCCTCTAGCTAGACTAATAAAAAAGAATATGCAAATAAACACAATTAGAAATGACAAAGGAGATGGTACCGCTGACCCCACAGACATAAAAATAACCATCACAAACTCCTATAAACACCTCTATGCACACAAACTAAAAAACGGAGAAGAGATGGGTAAATTCCTGGACACATACACCTTCCCAAGACTGAACCAGGAAGAAATTGATTCCCTGAACAGACCAATAACAAATTCCAATGTTGAATGCATAATAAATAGCCTACCCTACCAACTGAAAAAAAAAAGCCCAGGACCAGAAGGATTCACAGAATAATTATACCAGATGTACAAATAAGAGCAAGTGCCATTCCTGCTGATACTGTTACAAAAAATTGAGGAAGAGGAACTTCTACCCTACTCGTTCTATGTGGGCAGCACCATCCTGATACCAAAACCTGGCAGAGACACAATAAAAGAAGAAAACTTCAAGCCAGTAACACTATGCAATAATCCTCAACAAATTCACCACCATCAAGCAGGCTTCATCTCTGGTATGCAAGGTTGATTCAACCTATGCCAATCAATAAATGTGATTCATCACATAAACAAAACTAAAAAAAAGATAATCTCAATAGATGCAGAAAAACTTTTGATAAAATTAAACATTCCTTCACGTTAAAAACTCTCTATAAACTAGATATTAAAGGAACATACCCCAAAATAATAACAGTCATCTATGAAAGATGACACAGCCAATATTATTTTGAATGGGGAAAAGCTGGAAGCATTCCCCTTGAAAAGCAGCACAAGATAAGGATGTCCTTTATCTCCACTCCCATTCAACATGGTATTGGAAGTCCTGGTCAGAACAATCAGGCAACAGAAAGAAAGAAAGTGCATCCAGATAGGAAGAGAGGAAGTCAAACTATCCATCTTTGCAGACAACATGTTTCTATACCTAGAAAACCACATAGTCTTGGCCCAAAAGCTCTGTAAGCTGTTAAACAACATCAGCAAAGTCTCAGGATACAAAATCAATGTACAAAAATCACTAGCATTGCTACACACCAATAATAGTCAAGCCAAGAGCCAAATTGGGAAGACAATCCCATTCACAATTGCCACCAAAAATAAAATACAGCTAACCAGGGAGGTGAAAGATCTCTACAATGAGAATTACAAAACACTGCTTGAAGAAATCAGAGATGACATAAACACATGGAAAAACATTCCATGCTTATGGTTAGGAAGAATCAATATCATTAAAATGGCCATACTACCCAAAGCAATTTACACATTCAATGCTATTTTTTTGTCTTTTTTGAAATTTCTGTTTTTTTTTTTTTTTTTGAGACAGAATCTCATTCTATTGCCCAGGCTGGAGTGCAATGGCAGAATTTCAGGTCACTGCAACCTCTGCCTGTCAGGTTCAAGTGATTCTTGTTCCTCAGCCTCCTGAGTAGTTGGGATTACAGATGTGTACCACCACACCTGGATACTTGTTGTATTTTTTGAAGAGAAGGAGTTTCACCACGTTTACCAAGCTGGTCTTGAACTCCTGACCTCAGGCGATCCACCTTCCTGGGCCTCCCAAAGTGCTGGGATTACAGGTGTGAGCCATTACAGCTGGCCAATGCTGTTTCTATCAAACTACCAATGACATTCTTCACAGAAGTAGAAAAAGCTATTTTAAATTCATTTGGAACCAAAAAAGGTCCCAAATAGCCAAGGCAATCCTAAGCAAAAAGAACAAAGCTGGAGGCATCACGTTATCCAACTTCAAACTATACTACAGAGCCACAGTAAACAAAACAGCATGGTACTGCTACAAAAACAGAAACATGGACCAATGAAACAGAATAATAGAGAGTCCAGAAATAAGACCTATGACTGTGTGATCTTTGACAAGGATGACAAAAACAAGCAGTGGGGAAAATAGTCCCTGTTTAATAAATGGTGCTGGAAGCAAAAGGTTGAAACTGGACCACTTCCTTACACCATATGCAAAAATCAACTCAAGGTGACTTAGACTTAAATGTAAAACCCCAAACTATAAAATCCCTGGAAGACAACCTAGACAATACCATCCTGGAATAGAAATGGGAAAAGATTAGTGACAAAGGTGCCAAAAAGAATTGCAACAAAAGCAAAAATTGATGAGTGGGATGCAATTAAACTTAAGAGTTCCTGCACAGCAAAAGAAACTATCATCAACAGAATAAACAACCTACAGAATGGGAGGAAAGTTTTGCAAACTATGCATCTGACAAAGGTTTAATATCCAGCATCTATAAGGGACTTAAACAAATTTACAAGAGAAAAACAACCTCATTAAAAAGAGGGCAAAGGACAGGAACAAACTTTTTTTAAGATAAGGCATACATGTGGCCAAGAAGCTTATGAAAAAAACCTCAATATCACTGATCATTAGAGAAATGCAAATCATAACCAAAATGAGATACCATCTCACATCAGTCAGAATGGCTATTATGAAAAAGTAAAAAAAAAAACAGATACTGATGAGATTGTAGAGAAAAGTGAACACCACTTTTGGTGGGAGTGTAAATTAGTTCAACCATTGTGGAAAGCAGTATGATGATTTCTCAAAGAGCTAAAAACAGAACTACCATTTGACCCAAGAATTTCATTACTGGGTATATACCCAAAGGAATAAAAATTATTCTACCATAAATACACATGCATACAAATGTTCATTGCAGCACTATTTACAATAGCGAAGACATGGTGTTAACTTCAATGCCCATCAATGACAAATTGCATGAAGAAAATGTGGCCTACATACACCATAGAATACTATGCACACACAAAAAAGAATGAGATCATGTCTTTTGCAGGAAAATTGATGAAGCTGGGGGCCACTATCTTTAGCAAACTTGACACAGGAAAAGAAAGCCAAATACCATATGTACTCACTTATAAGTGGGAGCTAAATGGTGATAACTAATGAACACAAAGAAGGGAGCGATAGACACTGGGGTCCACTTGAGGTACAGGGCGGGAGGAGGGAGAAGAGTAGAAAAGATAAATATTGGGTACTAGGCTTAGCATCTGGGTGATGAAATAACCTGTACAACAGACCCCCATGATATGAGTTTACATATGTTTCAAACCTGCACATGTACCCCTGAGCCAAAAACAAAAGTTTCAAAAATTTCTTTTTTGTTCTTTAGCATAGTTTCATAATTTTTTATATGGTATATTCTCATGTCTTGGTAAGTGTATTAATAGAAATTGTATATTTTTGTTGTGTCCCAAGCTTCCTCTATAATTTTATTTTTTAAGTAAATTCTTTTTATGTGAGCTTAAAAATAATTCCTTATTGTTTACCAGGATTATGACTGAAGATTATATATAAACTTTTAAAAATCTCAGTTTCTTTATTTGTGTGATAGAGATAAGGAGAGTCATTACATTTCATGTATCTTATCATATTTACAAACTCTTTCTTTGTGCCAGTCACTCCTGTAGCAGACTCCAGGAGAAGAGAAGTCACAAAGACGACTGGTTTTTGCCTTGATGGAGCTTACAGTCTAGAAGAGAAGATAGATATTAAACAAAGTCTTCACCTACAATGATGGGAAGACTACAAAAGGGAAGTGAACGTTTTATTAGAGCAATTAATGGAGAATTAATGAATTAATTTGGGTATAAGACTGTAGTGTCAAAGAAAGCCTCCCTAGGGAAGAAATGTTTCAAGTGTAACTTGGGAAATGAGTAAGAGTTGACCAGTGAACTGGAGGCAGAGTGATTCTGGCATAGAAAAAAAGCTCATGCCAGTTCTTTAGGGTATTCATAAAACCAAAGGAAAGGTTGAATATCTAAAGGGAGATGTGTTTAGGGAGGGTGGCATAAAATGAGACTGGAAAAATGATCAGAGGCCAAATATCAAAGGGTCTTAAAGATGAATTTTTAGAGTCAGATAGGGTGATACTAATATTAGGTTGGTGCAATAGTAATTTAATGGCAAAAACTCCAATTACTTTTGCACCAACCTAATATTTATGTGAAACCATGATTGTCCTGACTTGGTGAGATTTTTTTAAAGCAAAGTTTCTATAACTTCCTAATTCTAGTTTATGTTTATTCTCTTCAAAAGCATACGTTATTTATTTATTTATTTAATTAATTTTATTTTATTTTGAGATGGAGACTTGTTCTGTCACCCAGGCTTGAGTGCAGTGGCATGATCTCAGCTCACTGCAAGCTCCGCCTCCTGGGTTCATGCCATTCTCCTGCCTCAGCCTCCCGAGTAGCTGGGACTATAGGTGCCCGCCACCACACCTGGCTAATTTTTTGTATTTTTAGTAGAGACGGGGTTGCACCATGTTAGCCAGGACGGTCTTGATCTCCTGACCTCATGATCTGCCCGCCTAGGCCTCATAAGTTATTTATTAATCTTGTGCGTTGGTACCAGAAAAACTTTAAAATTTCAGAAAAATTTTAAATTTTCTTCCATGAAGGTTTATGAGAAGGCCAGTCACATAAATAAAAGGTAGGAAATGAATCTACTACATATATAATCCTGACAAAAAATCCTTTTTTTACCTGAAATCAAATATATATTCAATTAAAACTATTTTGAGGATCTGAGACACTTAAGTCAGCTCTGTTTTTTCTTTCTGTTACTACTGTAGAAATGTTTCTAAAACTCTGTTCTTCGCCTGTATTCTCAGCAATTTGGGAGGGTGAGGTGGGAATCGCTTGAAGCCAGGAATTTGAGACCAGCCTGGGCAAGATAGTGAGACTCCCGGTTCTAGAAAAACAAACAAACAAACAAAAAATACAATTGGCGTGGTGGCATGTACCTGTAGCCCTAGCTACTTGGAAGGCTGTGGTGAGAGAATCGCTTGAGTGCAAGAGTTCCAGACTGCAGTGAGCTGTGATCATGCCACTGCACTCCAACCTGGGTGACAGAGACCTTGCCTCAAAAGAAAACAACAACTGTTCTTGCGATTCATGTGTATGGATTTACCTATAAAGAGAAAACAAGATCTAATTAAAAGCAAATAATAGCAATATGTTGACAACAGGACATATATTGGCCTTGAATTTGAGGTTTTATTTTAATCTGGCTAGGCATTGTGCTGTGTTTAATGTTTGCTGTATCTGTGTTGCCAGGATGTTTCAAACGCTTCTGATGTCCTTGTTTTTATTTCCTTTGCTGATTTCAGGCTTCTCTATGTTCTTCTTTTCAAATTTGTATCTTGCAGGACTTTCAGCAGTAAGTCCTGTTGGTATGATGATAAGGGGTGGGGAAGTGGAAGCCTTCTCTAATCTTACGATGAAATCTCTATCTTTCAGTGGATCTGTGTCCTTGGTCTGTGACTTTTAAGTAATTCTTAGCCTTTGTTCCCTAATTAGTTGAAGCAGAAATCCTAGAAGGAGGAAGAGAGTGATACACTTAATCCCTTTTGAAACAAAGTCCTATTAAGACTTTTCCCTGAAAGTAACATCTGTTATGAAGAATGCCCGGCCGGGCACAGTGGCTCACACCTGTAATCCCAGCACTTTGAGAGGCCGAGGCGGATGAATCATGAGGTCAGGAGTTCGAGACCAGCTTGGCTAATATGGTGAAACTCCATCTCTACTAAAAATACAAAAATTAGCCAGGTGTGGTGGCACACACCTGTAGTCCCAGCTACTCGAGAGGCTGCGGCAGAAGAATCGCTTGAACCCGGGAGGCAGAGGTTGCAGTGAGCTGAGATCATGCCACTGCACACCAGCCTGGGTGACAGAGTGAGATTCTGTCTCAAAAAAATAAAAAGAGAATGTCCTGGGTGTATGTTAAAATTCTACTCCCCTTGACAGTGGTTTGAAGGGATCTTTGCTGGCTCTTCCACGCAAATCTTCTGTGATTCTTGTCTACACCAGAAGTAAAACACTATATTAAAGATGAGAAACACATCATTATTACTCTGTTACTATTATTATAGCTTTTTGTTTTATCAACTTCATATATAAATTAAGTAACAGATAAAATGGGTTTTAAACTCTGAAAAGTATGAAAATTGTGGCATGTTAATCTGCTTTAGAACCAGAATTATAATTACCCCTTGCTTATCTGTAGTTTACATTTATAAAATTGTAGATAGAAGCAGACATTGTAAGAGTTCATTATAAGTCAATATGTTGAACATCTCATTGTTTCTCTGTTGTTTGTTACAATACCAAAATATATTATTCATAGACTCACAAGCTTAGAAACATCATTTTGAGTGTTTCAAAAACCGGTTTTGGAGTTTCTGGTTTTAGCTTTGTCCTAAGACCTTGGAAGTTCTCACTCACATCTTAAAGAAAAACAAAAAAATCTGATCAAACTGAAACCCAGTGACATTTTTGGACCCATCAGAAGACTGAACTCATGGGGCAAGTGTGATTACCCCAAAATCTATAGACAGGCAAATCCAGAGTAACAGTTTACATCTTCTTACCTGAGCCATCTGAAGACTTGTACTGGTAGAAACACAAGGTAATTTTGAGGAATTGCTGGAGGCTGAGTGTGGACTAATATGAGAGTGAGGATTTCTTTGGGGGAGGTTATAGGCTTTTTAAGGGGTTACATTCTTGGGGGAGGTTACACTATTGTGAACTTTAAGTCTGTATTAGACAGGGTTCTCCAGAGAAACCAATAAGATAGATAGATATAGATATAGATAGATGATAATGATAGATAGACCGATAGATAGATAGATAGACAGACAGATAGAGATAGAGAGATATATGAGAGGGGATTTATTAGGTGAATTGACTCATGAGATTATGGAGGCTGAGAAATTTTACATTAGGCCATCTTTAAGCTGGAGAACCAGGGAAGCTGGCTCAGTCCAAGTCAAAAGGCCTCAGAACATGGAAGCCGATGGTATAACTCTCAGTCTGAGGCCAATGGCCTGAGAAACTGAGGGACCACTGGTGTAAGTCCCAGAGCCCAAAGGCCAGAGACCTGGAGTTCTGAGAGAAGCAGGAGAAGTAGAGTGCCTCAACTCTAGGAGAGAGAAAGGGAATTTGCCTTTTTGCTCTATTCAGGCCCTCAGTTGATTCATGGTGCCCTCCCACACCAGGTGAGGGCACATCTTCTCTACTTAGTACACTGATTCAAATGCCAATCATGTCTTCCTTTCACAGAAGGCTTCTCTGTAGTTTGCAAAGCTGTTTAATAACATTTTACCCACAGCAGAATTTATTTCAAAATTATAATCAAGCCTCTCAAACCCCGCCACTGCTTTATCAACCAAGTTTATGTAATATTGTAAATCTTTTGCTTTCATTTCAACAGTGTTCACAGCCTCTTCACCAGGAATATATTCCATCTCAGGAAACCACTTCCTTTCCTCATCCATGAGAAGCAACTCCTCATCCAAGAAAGTTTTATCATGAGATTGCAGCAATTTACTGTCATCTTTAGGCTCTGCTTCTAATTCTAGTTCTCCTGCTATTTCTACCATGTTGCAAGGCCTTCTCTACTGATGTCTTGAACCCCTCAAATTTATCCATGAGAGTTGAAATCAACTTCTTCCAAACTCCTGTTAATGTAGATATTTTGAGCTCCTTCCATGAATCACAAATGTTTTTAATGACACCTAGAATGGTGAATTCTTTCGAAAGCAAGATTTGAGAAAGCAAGATTTTCAATTTGCTTTACCCAGATCCCTCAGAAGAATCACGATCTATGGCAGGGATAGCCTTATGAAATCTAAATCTTAAAAAATAAGATTTGAAAGTCAAAATTACTCCTTGATCCATGGGATACAGAATGGTTGCTGTGTTATTAGGCATGCAAACAGCATTGATCTCTTTCTACATCTCCATCAGAGCTCTTGGGTCACCAGGAGCATTGTCTATGAGCAGTAATATTTTGAAAGGAATCTTTCTTTTTGGGCTCTAGGTCTCAAGAGTGGGCTTAAAATATTCAGTAAACCATGCTGTAAACAGATGTGCTATCATCCAGGCTTTTTCCTTCCATTTCTAGAGCACAGGCAGAGTAGATTTAGTATAATTCTTAAGGGCTCTAAGATTTTTGCAATGGTAAATGAATATTTCAAGTTAATCGCATCAACTGCATTAGGTCCTAAAAAGAGAGTTAGCCTGTCTTTAAGCTTTGAAGCCAGGCATTGACTTCTCCTTTCTAGCTGTGAATGTCCTGGATGGCATCTTATTCCAGTAAAATCTGTTTTGTCTACAATGAAAATCTGTTTTCTGAAGCCACCTTCATCAATGATCTAAGCTTGATCATCTGGATAACATGCTGCTCCTTCTACATTAGCACTTGCTGCTTCACCTTGTACTTTTATGCTGTGGAGATAACTTCTCTCCTTAAATCTCATGAATCACCTCTGCTAGCTTCTATCTTTTCTTTTGGAGCTTCCTCATCCCTCTCAGCCTTCATAGAACTGAAAAGAGTTAGGGCCTTTCTATGGATTAGATTTTGGCTTAAGGAAATGTGGCTGGTTTGATCTTCTACCCGGACTTACTGAAATTTTCTTCCTATCATCAATAAGGCTGTTTTGACTTCTTATCATTATATGTTCACAGGAGTAGCACTTTAAATTTTCTTCAATAAGTTTTTATTTTCATTGATGTCTTGGCTATTTAGCGCAAGAGGCCTAACTCTCAGCCTGTCTTGGCTTTCAACATGCTTTCCTGACCAAGCTTTATCATTTACAGCTTTTGATTTAAATTGAGAAACGTGCAACTTCTCCTTTCACTTGAACACTCAGAAGCCATGATAGAGTTATTCATTGGCCTAATTCTGATATTGTTGTCCCTAAGAGAATAGGGAGGCTCTGGGAGAGGGAGAGAGATGGGGAATGGCCAGTCAATTGAGCAGTCAGAACCACACAACATTTATTGATTTTGTTCTCTGTCTTATATGGGTGTAGTTTGTGGTGTCCAAAACAACTAAAATAGTACCATCAAAGATCACTGATTACAGGTCACCATAACAGATATAATAAAACTGAAAAAGTTGGAAATACTGCACGTATTACCGAAATGTGAGCCAGAGACATGAAGTGAGCACGTGCTGTTGGAAAAATTGCTCCAAAGACTTGCTTTACACAAGGTTCCCACAAATGTTCAATTTGTAAAAAGTGCAGTATCATGAATCACAACAGAGAGTGATAAAGTGAGGTATGCCTGTATTTTCATTTACATTTTAAATTTATATAATTTACTTATAATTAACTTTCTGATGCTTTTTATTTCTTTATCCCTTTTCATAGATTCATAATTCCACATAGTATCATTTACCTTCTGCCTGACAAAATTACTTAAGGACATGAACTCATCCTTTTTTATGGCTGCATAGTATTCCATGGTGTATATGTGCCACATTTTCTTAATCCAGTCTATCATTGATGGACATTTGGGTTGGTTCCAAGTCTTTGCTATTGTGAATAGTGCCACAGTAAAAATTACCATCCTCTTAAATAACAGAAATTTTCTCCCTTATTCAGATGTCTGAAATCAGTATCGCTGGGGTCTGGGGCCAAAATAGAGGTGTTGGCGGGGCCCCACTCCCTCTAGAGACTTCAGGAGATAATTAATTCCTTGACTATTTCTATTTCTTTTAGATTTTTGGTGGCCGAGAGGAGGGCAGGGTCTTGCTTTGCCAACCAGGCTGGAGTGCAGATCACAGCTCATTGCAGCCGTGACTTACTGGGCTGAAGTGATCTTCCCACCTCAGCCTCTGTAGTAACCGTAAAAACTGGAGTGAACATGTGTTTCATTTCTGTTATTGGTAATTTCCTTTCTCTTTTTCCATGATTTGTCTGACTAGAAGTTTATCGCTTTTATTGATATACTCAAATAACTAGATTTGGTTCCACTGATTTTTTTCTATTCATTTTCTGTTTTCTATTTCATCAATTTGTATTTTAATGTTTATTATTCTACATCTTCTGTTTAATTTGGGTCCACTTTGCTCTTTCTTTTTATTTCTCCTTCTTTTTTTAAATGCCTAAATGTGTCATGGAAGCTGAACTTTTCTTTTTAATACAGCTGTTTATTACATTTTATTCCCCAAATGTACTTTAGCCACATCATCAAAATTTTGAGTTCTTTTGCTTTCATTTTCATTCACCTGAAAACACTTTGATTTCCCTTTTGATTTCTTCTTTGACCCATGGGTTATTTAAAAACTTATACTTTTGTTTATAAATATTTGAAAAATGTATTAGTTTCCTAGAGTTGCCATAAAAATATACCACAAACTGGTCAGTTTAAAACCAAAGAAATTTATTTTCTTACTGTTATGAAGGCTAGAAGTCTGAAATCAAAGTGTCAGCAGAACTTTGCTCTCTCTTTAAGACTTTGAAAAAGAATGATTTCTTGCCGACATCTGGCTTCTAATGGTGGCTAGCAGGTCTTGGAATTCCTTGGTTAAATCACTCCGATCTCTCTGCCATCACATGCTGTTCTGTGGGTGTGTCTATGTGTCTTTTCTCCTCTTATGAGGACACAAGTCATAAAGAATTAAGGGCCCACCCTACTCCAATATGACCTCATCTTTACTTAACTAGTTATATCTGCAAAAACCCTGTTTCCAAATAAGGTCAAATTTTGAGGTTCTGGGAAGGATGGGAATTTTAGTTGACACTATTCAACCCATTATAGGGAAAATTCCACATTTTTTTTTGTTTCTAATTTTCTAATCTTTCTGGTTTCTAATTAACTTCCGTTGTGGTCAGATTACTTACGTATTATGTGAGACTTGTTTTGTGGAGCATATTATGCTATCTTGGCAAATGTCTACATCGATTGGAAAATAATGTATATTCTAGTGTTTCTGTATGGAGTTTCTAATGACTATCATTTTGGTCAAGTTGGTTGATAGTTTTATTCAAGGTCTCTGTATACTTATTAATTTTCTATTTTTTCTATTTCCTACTGAAAGAGAAACTTAGAAAAATCTAAAAATAAAGTCATCAACTTGTTTATTTCTTCTTCAAGTCCTATCAATTTTCCTTCAAATATATTTAGGTTCTGCTGTTAAGTTCATAAACATTTAAAATTGTTACATCTTCTGGATGAGATAACTTTTTGTTATTATAAAATGACCTGTCTTTGTACCTGGTAATATTTTCTGCTTTTAAATCTGCTTTATACAAAACTAATTCCCGATTTTTGGGGATCAGTGAAAGGAAATGGTGATTCAAAATGAAATTGACAGTAGTAAGATGTAAAATACAAACTGTCATTAAAACAATCAAGAAAAATTTAATTTTAATGAATTTCGGCCTTTTTATTCACTTCCAATTTAATTATTTTGGGGAATACTAATATTTATTAGAACTTTAAGGATATCATAATACAGTATCTCTTATGTCCACAAGTGTTTTAATTAATTTGTAAATGAATATAACTAATAAACCATTATTTGTACAAATTTGTAAAAAGTACCTTATGTATACGTAAGAAAGGTTCTGATTGAATTAGAATCAACCTCAATACAGATTGTTGATTTTTATACAGTGTGCAATTCAATTCAAATTTACTACACACACACACACACACACACACTCAACTTTATTTGTATCCCAAAATGTGTGAAAGTATAATCTATGGCTGCTTTTTTACTGCAACGAAAGAATTGAGTGCTTCTACTTGGGCTGGTATGGGGTTACAGGCATGAGCCACCGTGCCTGGCCTCATTTCCCCTTTTATATGAGCCCAACTTTGAGTTTATAGAAGAGTCTCTTATAGAGGGGTAGGTTCCAGTGTCTCACATTCTGTGTCCCCCCACCTTTTTTTAAATCTATTTTTATTTAGTAGGCCAGGAAACTATTATTTCCTCTAGGGTGAGAAAACTAGTTATGACTGATAACTATGGCTGTTGCAAACTGATGGGCAACCTTCAATATCCATTTCCCCCTTCCTTTATTAGGAAATTTTTAAAATTTTAATTGGGAAACTTGCCACTATGAAAAAAATGCCAATTATATTTCTTAGCCTCCTTCGAAGTTAGATATGGCCATGTTACCAAGTTATGACCAAATATATATACGTGCATGTGATATTAACAACTTATAGGTTATGACATTAAATGCAATGGCTTGCCCTTAATAAAGTATAATTTTCAGAAAGATAAAATATTATGGCACTGAAGCAAATAGAAAAAGAGTATGTGTCAAAGATATTATTTAACATAATAATTAACAAGGGAATAAGCAAGATGTTATGACAGGTTAAAAGACCATCTGAAAATCAAGAATATTATAGGCAATTTGACAAAAAAATATCTAAATAAGATGATTGAGTTACATATAAAACAGGATAGTGGCTAACAGGGTCATAACATTAACAAATTAGCAAGCATCTTCACTAAGACTGAGACTGTTAATTAATAACAGTGAGGTTAACTAAGTACATTATCCAGTGCTTGTGTGGACTTTGCTTCCCTAAGACATTGAAAAGATTTACCATCCATTTTTTTCTTTGTTCCTAAGGTTTAGGTAATTTTTCTGTCACATTCCAGGTTTTTTTTTTCATGGAATGTTAATTATTGCCAGGAGCTGAAGTAAACATCCTAATTCTAAAAATGGTCTTATAAATGAAAGGGAAACATGTTTAGGAGGGTCATGGGTACCTAAGAGCAACAAAGACATTGACTTTTCTTGAGAAGACTCTGGATTTTATGTAGATAGGGCAGCTTTCTTGATAAAATGTTCTGGGTTCTTTATAGCTAAGTCTTTATCCTAACTAACATAATTTTCTCCCAAAAGTTGGTCACTAAAATAAAAACTAATTTTTTTTAACAGTTGACTGGAATGCACTGAGGAAGCATATATTGTGTACTAGGAAATTTGCGAATCCTGTTAATCCATAGCTAGGTATAACTGCTGCTTGCGATATATCGGAATCCAGGCCACAAGCTGACTGAATTTACAAGTGCTTTCAGAATTAATATTGGTTTGTGTCAGTTTCTTCTCTCACCAAAGACCTATAGGTGGGAGAAGAAATCAAGCCGTACTTGCATATGTTGAAAGCAGAGAAGGAAGAGAGTACAGCTTTGCTAAGGGAGACTCTTGATGCCTGTAGCCTGCCCTCTAGATTGAGGGATAAAACCATAATTGGAAGCCTGTCAGAGGTCAAAACAATGAGTGATTCTGTACCTTCAAATTAAACCAGTGACATCAGGAAGCTCTGAAAGAGTGAAGACTGATTATGTCCAAGCCTCTGTACTCGACTAGACCACAACCTCAGATTATTATATGAGAATGGCATACATTTTTGCCTTGTTTATACCACTGTGTTTTGGGGTATATTTTTAAGAGATAATCCTAAACCTGCTTAAATAATACAAGTATTGTTTCAAATATAGTGTGCATTCCTCTAGTCCTTCAGGTTCTTAGCTTTTTATATTCAAAAGTTTGGACTCCCCCAAATCAAAAACTTTGATGTCCTAGATAAAAAAATTCTTTAGTTTTGCTGTCTTCCTCAGGCAATGAATGCTGCCGATTCTTTGAAGAAAGGGCAAAGAGTGTTAGGAAACTGTGTTCATATATGCATGTCTGCATCAACAAATAGCCCCAGATATTATTCTGCCATAGAAAAAACTCTTTTCATCTTGTTTACTTCAATCCTGAGAGAAATGTACATTATTGTTTCATCTCTCTCCCTCAAGATTGCTATATCACAAATGGAATATTACTTTTAACTGCTTTATTTGCTTTTAAGATATCCCAAGCATACCCCTCGTTGGCTCAGTTACTCTCAAATTTTATTACATTGCTCTGTAATTTCAAATTCTCATTCTTTGCAAACTATTTCAAATCTTTTTCAATGTCTTTAAAAATCCCAAACACTCCCTCTTTTTTCATGTGTACCTCATGGAGAACATTTAAGTATATTAGCTACAACACTATTAAATCCTTAATATCACATTTATAATCCAACCATCTTTGACACATCTTTAACATCAGCCATTCTTTTTAGATTGGTTTCATCAGTGACGGTATGGCTCCCCTTAACTAAAGCAAAATAATCTCCCGTGCTTTAAATACTTTTTAAAGTGGGAGTTTCCTCGCACTTTTTTTCTGAGCATTATCAGTTATTCCTTCTTTCTTCTCTATAACCACTAGTTGTTTTTAACTGGATTAATTGTATGACTATTATAAACATGACTGAAAAAAAATTCCTCCCTTAACACCATGTATTCCTCCACCACTTGACTTACCTCTTGTCTTCCATCCACAGCCCAGCTTCTCAAAACATATTTTTTTATAACCACAGGATTAATTTGTTCACTTGGCACACACTTGTCATCCCCATATTTCTCAAAACAGGGGTTCCATGTTGTCAAAGCTCATGTGTATTTTCAGTCCTCATCTTCCTTCTTTATTCCTAAAACACTCTCATTGGCTTGTGTGATTATGCTTTCTGTTGTTATTTTCCCCTGGGCATTGCTCCTTCTCATTCTCCTTTCCTGGTTTCTCTTCATTTCCATGTACAAGGAATAGGGGGTTTCCTTAAAGTGCTGATACCCTCTCTCTACTGACTCCCAGGGCATTATATATCACCATAGTCTAAATTCTGCTATTGAGCATTAATTGATTGCCCAGACCTCTCCTGTGAGCTTGTGTCTAACTGCCTTCCTAAGACAGCAACTAGGAGGCCTTATGGACAACTGAAATTTGACATGTTTAAGATTAAACATATGATGTTTCCCAACAATACCTCTTGCCATGTCCTATCAACTTTAACTTAAATATCTTTCAAATATTTCAGCTTCTTTCCATCTGCACTGCCACCACTTTAAGCTACAATCATACCCCACCTAATCTAGAGCAGTAGACCCTCGGTAACTTTTCCCTCAGACATGTTGGAGACCCCTGGAATTTGCATTCTGCGGTAAAGGCATATTTTAAAAAGCAGACATCTACTTATGTTTCCTGGCATAAACATTTAGATGACTTACCTTTACACATGGGATACAGACTTAACTATAAGCATGTCCTATAGTCTGGCATGAAGGGGTCCCAACACTTTTCCATGGGCCTATGCTACCCTTTGATGTCTGTTCTGTTATCCTCAACTTCTTTTATTTCTTCAACTGTGCCATGCTTTTTTTCTACCACACAGTCTTTGCATATGTTCCTTTTCTCTAGGTTTTTCTCCAACTCTTTGCACAGGAACCCCCTACACATTTTTCCATGATACTTCCCAGGGTTTTTTGTATATCTATGAGCGATATTTACTCATTCAAGTCTAGTTTAGGTATTATAGTATAGATAAACTTGCATATGATGTGGTTCCTTCTCACTAGAGTTTACATTCTGCTTCAGACAGATGAAGTAAAATACCAATACACAAAATGACAACATAGTATCCATATATCAATGCAATTATATTTAAAAAGAACACATGCATTTAACATCTTCTGTGTATGAAGGATTGTAAGAGGTCTTGTCATGTGTTTTGTACTACAGAAGCTCTCAGTTTATCATAGTTAACAGGCCGGGTGTCAGGGCTCACACCTCTAATCCTCATACCTATAATACCAGCCCTTTAGGCAGCCAAGGTGGGAGGCTCGCTTGAGCTCAGGCGTTTGAGCCCAGCTGGAGCAGTATAATGAGACCCCATCTCTACAAAAAATAAAAAATTAGTCTGGTGTGGTGATGCAGGCCTGTAGTCCCAGCTACTTGAAAGGCTAAGGTGAGAGAATTACTTGAGCCCGGGAGGTTGAGGTTGCAGTGAGCTGTTATCATGACACTGTACTCCAGCCTTGTTAACAGAGGAAGCCACTGTCTCAAACAAACAAACAAAGTATTATAGTTAACAGCTTATTATAGAAACTGTATAAAAAGAAGCTTATTTTGATAGAAAGATGATGCAAAAGATTATAATAGTTTATGTATTATAATGAGGGATATAGCAGTGTTACACAAGAGAAATAAAAGAGAATACATATTATGAGTTCAGTTGTGGGCAAAAATAATATAAAGAACTTTAATGGAAAAAGACTTTAACTGGGGCTTTACCATTTAAGAATGGTGGGTAGAATTTGGATATATAAAGATGTTTCTACCATGAACAAATAATATTTATAGAGAGACAAAGATAAAAAAGGTCCAGTCTTTTTTAGGATGCAAAAGGTGATCATTTTGATTATTGCAAAGGAATCATGTAAATAAGATAGACGGTAAGAATAAACAGTTAAATTTGGGTCATATTTTTGAATTTCCTAGTAAAATATTAAAGAGATGGTAGTTCTAGCTTCTCTCACAAATACAAAATATGTGTCTGTAAAAAAAAATTCTATTTTAATGACCTTTTCAGGTTAAAATCATACAAAAGAGACAATGTGGGAGATGGAGCAGATTTACCTAAATAAATTATGTTATTATGACATTCTGTATCCTTATCATGTTACATGTATTACATTAGACTACCTGTTTTAATGGCTTAAGTCATGGTTTATTTTCCCAGACTGTCATATATCAAACACTTAGAAAATGTTTAATTAATAAATAAATATTTCTGGCTTTGGAATATAAAGTTGATTACAATATGGGTTTTGAATCTTATAAGTAAGCTTACATTAAAACAAATTATCAGTGTTAACTGGAACTTTGTTTTGGGAGTATCAAACAAGTTTTTAAAATCATTTATCTGGGATGATAATATGGTTTAGCTGTGTCCCCACCCAAATCTCATCTTGAATTGTAACTCCCATGTGTTGTGGAAAGGACCTAGTGGGAGGTGATTGAACTATGGGGACAGGCCTTTCTTGAGCTGTTCTTGTGATAGTGAATGAGTCTCATGAGATCTGATGGTTTTAAAAATGGGAGTTTCCCTGCACAAGCTCTCTCTTTGCCTGCCGCCATCCATGTTAAGAGGTGACTTGCTCTGCCTTACCTTCCACTGTGATTGTGAGGCCTCCCCAACCATGTGGAACTGTAAGTCGATTAAACCTCTTTGTTTTGTAAATTGCCCAGTCTTGGATATGTCTTTATCAGCAGCATGAAAACAGACTAGTACAGATGAATAGCATTATCTTAAAGAAAAATGTTTAAAAAATGATAAAACCCATCCCATAAATCTATTAAATTCTAGGAGTTTCTGAAGGTAGCTTGGCAAGCCTGTGAGGCAATATCTATGTTCATATCTGTCTGCATCATCAAGTGTCCAGCTAAGTTATTTTTTAATTTAAATGTTTTTTTTCATGGAAATACAAAACAATATGTGCTTCTTTCACAACTGGGGTTTGGAAACAGCCAAATGATCCGGACTGAAGGTCAGGCCTGGTTATCTATGCAGGTATTCAGGGTTAAATGCAGGTGTGCCTACGGAAGGAGTAAAAGCAGTGACAGATAGCCTGGATGTCGGTGATCTAGGAGAGGAATGTAATTCCAGAAAAGAATGAACCTAACAGAAAAGCAATTAAACAGGGATGGAATAATAATTAAAATGCAGTTATCATAAACCATAATGGTAGTATAATACCAACGTATCAGTATAGACAGGAGAAAGGCAGGTAAGCCTTTAGAAGTTAATGCGTCAGAAAATGTCAGATTAGTGGCATCTGAAATTATGCCAACAGGTTTGAGAAAACCCTCGAGGTGTGACCATAGTCCAAATACTGGGTTAGAGAATTACTCAGGTTGAGTATCTTTCATTGATCTTAACTGTGGTGAGTATTGGTCCCATAACATGGGTTGAGTGAGCTTCCAGGATGGCCTAACGTTGATTGATCTAATGAAACAGTCAAAGAGGGATAATAATATACTGAATCTACCTTGACGTGCCTTCTCAAAGTCACCATTGTAAACATCAGTTATTCTACTTTGCTGTATGTGATGTTCAGTAATTACTTTGTGACGTGTTAGTGTCCCATGCCCTTCAGTCTGGAGAACAGAGCCCATACTATGTAGTAAAATGGAGAGCATGTAAATCTCAGAACTAGTTAGCCTGTAGGAAGAACTAAAAAGCCACACAGGGGCCATGAAGCAATCCAAAGAATAGCAACAGGAAGATGTTACTATCTTCCCTTGGGCTATAAGGATCAAAGAAAGATACTTTTACCAGGGCTCACAGCCATGAAGGCAGATGCTGTCCAGGGAGATGTAGAGACATGGAAAAGACATAGCTAAGAACACAAATGGTATTCCACACCAGTAGTACCCAATGAGCTATAAGGGACATCCCTGCTCTGAGCTTGATCTCTTATTAAAATACATTTATTAAAGTATGAAATTTAAACTATATATTTTTTAGTTTCTTTGAGGTACTATGCTTATACCTTCTAAAATATAATGGGTATGAAGTGCAAAATCGTAATTATTTTTTGTTGTGAAAACAAGACTCCAAGTATACAATGGATAAATTACTCCATTTAAATTTAACATTGACTAAACATGTTAGTCAATTATATCTATCTGTGTCAGAATAAAAAATCAGTCAGTTTGTCATTATGTTTATCAAAACCAATAATTTGTTTAAAATGTGAACTTGTGGAAGGTCATCAAGACAAGGTAAATTAAACAGAAAAACATAATATCTTTTTCTCTTTAGCCTTTGAAACTTCTTGCCCAATACGTTTTAAGCAATTTACCATTTGACAGATTTCAGGTTTGATGGATTTTATTTATAATTTTACTGGACAGGGTGAGAAAAGAAACTGCTTTTAAAAAAAGGCCAGAATATAGAGAAATTTATTTGTCCCACTGTTAAAGAGCTTTACAAGGGAAATTTTTCATTTCAGTGTTTGAAAATCTTATTGGGTTTCTTACTTTAGATAATTACTTCTTCAAATAAATTTTGCCCACTAATTTCCTCTGGGACTTAACTTGCCCACTTGTCATTCAGTATATTCCTAGAGAGTAACTTGTTTTGTGTTTTCTGAAATCCATTCCAATTGTTAATTCTGATGTGAAATCAAGATAGCTCTCCTTTGAGATTTCAATTTATTTAAATTTCTTTTACTAAAATTTTCTCTCTTTATATAGGCTGGCCACATTTTTCAAATATTTGTCTTCTAAATTACTGTATTAACTTTCTACCTTTTAAAATCTATTATAAAAACAGTATCTTTTGTATTTTTCCAGGAAGAAATTATTATTTTTTAATACATTTTACTTCATTTCTCAATGGCTTTTTTTCTCCAGCATGTCTTAGAGAGTTTTAGGCTATTTCTCCATGTGTAGCTGAAGAATACTTACCTTATTTTAAAGATTCAGAAACAACACTAGACTCTATAATAAAAGAAATGATTTATCACTCCCTGTCCAGGAAACATCATTATTTTATTTTTCTGGCTTTTGTATCTTGTGAAAAGATAACAACTTTAAGTTGGTTTGGTAATGATGCATATATCGTATTTTTTTTCTCCCTATGACACATTAGACTGAAGATGATATGACTTTGACACTCATTCAGCTGAATTTCATCTGAAATGCTTTCCACAACTGAACAATATCAAGCATTTGGCTCATTTCCTGATATCATTAAACAGCAAACTCATTGCCGACTACATTTAACTCATTTTGTTGATTTTCTTTTGTAAAGACATATAGATTCAGGTTATTTTAAGCTGGATTTCCTTTCTTGTGTATTTTTCTTTCCAGAGGTACTGAATTTTGCTCACTTGAGAAACACATGCATCTGTGTGTTCATGTGCGTGCACATAAACACACAGACACATACAAACAAGTAAGCCCTGATATCTCATACAATTTTGAGACGTAGAATTCTTTTCAATTGAATTCCATTTTAGTGGCCAGCTAATTAAATGCTACTATCTGCTATTTCAGGTTTAAGAGCTTTTAAAAAAAATCAGAAGAATCATATTTTTCAAACGATATCTGATACAGAAGTTTGATGTAAGGAATGAGAATATTTTGATTTAAAAGTGAGTGTAGGGCCAAAACTCCACATTGTTGTACTTTCCATTCTATGCAGAAGCCTCTGAAGATTGTATAATACAAGGAAGTATTTTTCCTGGCAGTCCTTTCTAAGTGAAACAATTCTGAGTGTGATTGGTGGGAATACATTCTACATGTTTAGAATTCACCTATAATAGGAAATGAGGAACTTCTCATGGGTTATCAGTGTTACATTAGCTTATTTTGGCATTTTTCATTTATCAGCTCTGTCAGGAATGTTTCCTATCTATTTCTCTGTTCTTAATTTTCCCTTAGACCTTACCCACTAGCTCAACCAGAAAACTGATCCACAGAGCTAGACACCCTATGAGTGGAGTCACTGCTTCCCCTTTGTCCATTCTCTGTCATATGAAGTAGGCTTCATACAGACAAACATACAGGGTTGTTTTATCCACTAGGTAGAAAAGAGTCAGGGATCAATAATCCCAGATTAGAAAGGTGAGGATAGGAATGACCCAGCCTATCCTTATTTTAGGGATTCAGACAGGGATATCCAGATGTATTGTCATGGTGTCATATTTATGAATGGATTCTTCTTCTAGAAAACATAATGCAGGCTTGCTCTCAGCACTATAATATTTGACAGAGGAAAATAAAAATTGGAGGAAGTAGGCATGATATTTATGTAAATTATATAAATTCTTGTGTTACCTCCTATCCTTATTTCCTGCCTTCCCACAGCCCAGAATATTTCAGCAAGATGTCTAATGGTGACTGACATTTATTTCCATACGTATTAAATTTTAATACAAGTTCACTTAATCATGCAAACTATGTCTTCAGTCTCTTATTATCCCTCTTGTTTTACTGAATCGCCAGTAAAATGGATTGCTTGATCAGCTGAAAAGCAGGGGGTACAAAATAAAATAACATTTTATTTTATAGGCCTCTAACAGAGTTTGAGGCATTTGTCTCACTTGCCAGCTATGCAAATCCATGTTGAGAATAAGCATTCGTTCTGGTCAAGATCCACCAGTATCTACTTGAAGCTATGGTTAATGGGCCTAAAATATATATTTAATAGCTGTGTGCTGGCCTTAATTCTCTTGGTCCACAGCCCATAGTTACCTTTAATCTCTGATGCTCTGTTAAAAAACAGAAACATTTGATAGTCACATTTCAAGGTTCTAAATGGAATAATAAGATAAGGCTCATATCACTATTCCTGCTAAAACCATGTAACTGCATAAAAATAAGAAAAAATTTTACAAATTCAAATTGAGGACGTTTTACAAAATAGCTGGCCAGTGACCTTCAAAAGTGTCAAGGTCCTTGTAATGGACTGAAAATTTGTGTCCTTCCCCTCCAAATTTATATATCGAAGCCCTCCCCACCAGTGTAAGTTATTGGGAGATGGGGCCTTTGTGAGGAAATTAGGTTTAGATGAGGTCATGAGGGCATAATCCCCGAATGGAGTTAGTGTCCTTCATTTTTTTTTTTTTTTTTTGAGATGGAGTCTCACTCTGTCGCCTCGGCTGGAGTGCAGTGGAGCAATTTCGGTTCACTGCAACCTCCGCCTCCTGAGTTCAAGCGATTCTCCTGCCTCATCCTCCTGAGTAGTTGGGACTACAGGTGCGTGCCACCACGCCCAGCTAGTTTTTGTATTTTTAGTAGAGACAGGGTTTCACCATGTTGGCCACGATAGTCTCAATCTCTTGACCTCATGATCTGCACTCCTTGGCCTCCCAAAGTGCGAGATTACAGGTGTGAGCCACTATGCCTGGCCTAGTGTCCTTCTAAGAAGAGGAAAAGAGATTACAGCTCTCCCTCTTCACCATGTAATGACACAGTGAGGAGACAGGCAGCGGCAAGCCAGAAGGAGAGCTCTTACTAGGAACCAAATTGCCTGGCACCTTGATCTTGGACTTCCTAGCCTCCAGAACTGAGAGGTAAGTGTCAATTGGTTAAGCTATCCAGTCTATGGTATTTTGTTTTATCAGCCTGAGCAGACTTCACACAGCCCTGAAAGCAAAAGAAGACTGAAGAACTGTCAAATATTAGAAAAGACAAAGGAGACAGGACAACTAAATTCAACAGGGGTTTGGAGAGTCAATCCTGTCTGAGGAGGAACAGTCATATGCAGGCCAAGTGCAAGATGTTGAATGATGTCATCAATGAGTTAATATTACTGTATTGATGCTATTTTCCTTGTTTACAAAAATTGTTTTATGTTTGCCTAAAATAGGAAACAGCTAAAAAGGAGAGGAGAATATACTGGAATGTACTGTGGAAACTCACAGAACTAAAAGTATTAGGGAAGTTGAGGATGGGTTATGAAAACTCTCTTTAATGTATCTATAATTTTTCTGTAAAAAATTATCTCAAAGTAACAGGCTGAAACAAAGAATGAATGGGTAAGACTTCCACATTTAAATAGGAAAAAAATTAATTTTAAATGAAAAAACTTCTGCTGGCATCATTACCATTTAACATTATTTCAAAAGCTGTAAATAATGCAATTTAGACAGAAAAACGAAGAGGCCTAACTATTAGCACAAAAAAAACTTACAAATTTTACAAGTGATATAGTCACATATTTTGCATGCTTTAAAAAGTCAACTGAAAACTGCTAAAATTATATGTATCATATAAGCAATAATATACCTAGTTATAGGAGGAACACACTCATGTAGGCTCAAGTAGAGCATGCAACAAATACATTAGAGTAGTATTCTCATATAGTTTGTATTAGGTTGGTGCAAAAGCAATTGCTGTTTTTGCCATTACATTTAAATTGCAAAAACCTCAATTACATTTGCACCAACCTAATAGATTGGCACTTTTTGTTGTAACAAGCCATAAGTGCTGGCATGTGACCGTGACCCTGGCTTAATGAAACTAAGGGTTCTGTTCCTAATATATGGCAAACACACACACACACACACACACACACACACACACACACACACACACAGAGAGAGAGAGAGAGAGAGAGAGAGAGAGAGAGAGAACAACATAAACCAGATAAGGATCAGAGCTTGAAATGAAGCCAGTTCTATGAATCCCAAGTCTTTTTATCTAGGGCTTTAAAGAGAATATAAACTTTTCCTCCTCCAAAATTGCATAGATTACACAATAGGTGCTTGAATATGGTAGTCGTAGTGGCAGGGGATGGAGCCTATGCCTGGAGTCACAACTACAGGCTCCCATTTACCAAGATTAATCTAACTACTGTTACTGCCAAATATCTAACCTGACATCAATAGAAATCAATGATAAGTTGCTGATATAACATTATTAACAAGAGAAACAAACCA
The DNA here is from genome assembly GCF_000001405.40 of Homo sapiens. Taxonomy (NCBI): domain Eukaryota; kingdom Metazoa; phylum Chordata; class Mammalia; order Primates; family Hominidae; genus Homo; species Homo sapiens. Next base: position 118,463,081 of record NC_000007.14, read on the forward strand.
CATAGTAGCAAATTGGTACTATATCCTTTCTACTCTACACAAGGTAGTAATTAATTCATTCTGACAATAACCAACTCTTTTCACTGCATGTCTTTGCATTTCCTGTGCATAGGGCACATGCACATGAACTCACAAAATGTTCGATCCACCAACACAGCACAATATATTAAAATACACCACATCTTAATAGCACAGAAGTTGCAGAAATTAATGCATGAGAATGGGATGTGTTGGTCCTATCATATACCATATATGGAATCACCCAGAAATTAGCAGCATACAGCAATAAAGCAGTGGAAGAACAGCCTGACGAAGTTGCAGTGCAGGTGCCAGTTTTGAGATGATGCCCATGAAGATGAGTTGTCATCTGACATGAAACCACTCTAAATTAATAACCATTATACAGTCTGCAAGCTCATTGTATAAAATATAGCAAGGGTTAGAAACAGATATGGCTCCCATTACCCTCACCCAATGACCCCCATGGGGAATTTTTCCCTCAACTTGAGTCTCTGTTGATTTAATGGTTCTCTTTCCAGAAAAGAGAACACTTCTACCAGAGGAAACAAAAGTCAGTAAACTTTAAGCTAAATCTGCTGCCCAGGAACTTTTGTTTTCTCTCTACAAAAAGTCATCAGGTAAAAAGTAGACTACCTATTCTAGCAAGGGCAATTGGACCTGATCTGCAGGTTGAGATAGAACGGCTGTTATGTAATGAGATAAGCAGGTATTTGTTTGGTACTCAGATGTGTCACCTGTCCAACTCTTAGATTTTTCTTGTACAGTTTTAAGTAATTTTTGTTGAATTGTGTTGAATTTATAGACCAAATTGGGGAGAATTGATATGGTATACATCTCTGTCTACGGAGGTCTTTGATTTCTTTCATCAGAATTTGTAACATTCAGCATAAATATCATGCACATATTTTGTTTAGGTTTATACCTAAATGCCCCATTTTGGGGGGGTGTTATAAGTAGTATTTGTGTTTGATTTCAAATTTCACTGTGAGCATTTCTCATATATAGGAATATAATTGACTTACTGTGTATTGGTCTTGAATACTCTGACCTTGGTAAATTATTTATTACGTTCATCCTGTTTGGTGTCCTCTCACATTATTGGATTTGGGGTTTAGCGTCTGCCACTAATTTTGAAAAAAATAATGTTTGCTTTCGTGATCATTTATTCAAGTATTTCTTCTTCCACTTTCTCCCTTTATTTTCCTGCTGAATTACAATTTTGATTATGTTATGTCATTCCATATTGTCTACAGGCAATTCTTGGAAGTGTGATTACTGTGTTTGTACTTTTTTTTCTATTTACCACTACTTTTCTCAGCATTCTTCATTTCTGTTATAATGTTTTTGACTTCTAGCATTTTCATTAATTCTTTTTTATAATTTTCATCTCTCTCCTGAAATTATCTTTCTGATCTTGTGTGCTGTGAATGTTTTCCAATAGAAACTTTAACATGTCATTCATAGTTATGTGAAACTTCTTGTGGATAATTCATATGCCTGGGTCACATCCAAATTGAGTTCTAGTAATTTCTTTGTTCTTTTCAGACTCTGTTGTTTACTTACCTTTCAGTATGCCTAATAAATGCTTGTTAAAAGCCAGATGTGTTGTATAGGACAATAGATTTAAGTAATTTTTATTCTTAAAGATTAGCATAACTTCTCTTGTCCTAGGTGTTAATATTTTAAATATTTTTAATACTACATCTATCTATCTATCTATCTATCTATCTATCTATCTATCTATCTATCTATCTATCTATCACATTTATTAACTGATCAGTACCTGTTTGCCCTGTACTGTCCTTGGGAATAAGTTAGGATTATTGAACATATCCCCTGAATATAAAAGAAGTTACACACACAAGATCTTACTCAAGGAGCTCCCATTCTGTTTAGAGAAACAGACCTGAATGAAATAATTTCAGAATATTTACAAAATGTTCTTCCACTATCTTTATGTAAATAACAAATTCTGAAGAGAAAACCATATAAGTGAGCTGGAATAGTGAGAAATGTCCTCACCTTTAGAATACATAGCCACCAGAATCAGGGGATAGGTTTCTATTAGGTGGGGAGATCTAGAACTTCAAGCCTGTATTTCTGCTTTGTGAATTTTAGGCTGTTGGGATTGTCAGACTCACAGATCTCATTCATATTAGGGCACTAGAGCCTAGAATGTGTTTCTAAAAACCACATTTCTTAAACATCACTCAGTTTATAAAAATTATTTTTAAGGTTCCATATGCTAACTGCTGAATCCTTTGACATGGACTTTGAATACTCCCTATAAAGAAATTTGCCACATTCAAAAGTGGATATGTAATTAAGATATTTCAAATGCTAACTACTTGTGCAGTTAAAATTAATTTTGTTATAAAAATTATCAAAAATTTGAAAATTTCAGCTAAAGGTGAATGGCACGTTCTTTCAATGTCATATATGTATGAAGGCCATCCAAGTATTTATCAAGGGCAGAAGCTGACAAATATTTTCTGTAAAGAGCCAAATAGCAAGTTCCTTTCCCAATAAAACTTTATTTGTTATAGTAAAACAGAAATCAGGCTGGTTTCAGCCTGAAGCTTGTATTTACTCACTCTTGATCCAGGCATGGGCACTTTTGTGTCTTACTATTTAACATTGATTAAATTTCCCAGAATTTTGATGTTACATGTTAACTTTTAGAGGTTGTCTGGTATAGATGAAAATAATTTATTTCCAGTATAAATAATAACTCCCCAAAATACAATTTATTACACTGCAGGAAATTAACCAGTTGTGTATATAATACAATATATACCAAGCTTCCCAAATATATTATTATCCAACAATTTATATGGAATATTTCAAAATAACCACAGACAAAACAAATAGCATGCAAATTAAAAGAGTGTGATACTCTAAATCAAGGAATTATTGATATCTGGTTTACTATTCCCTAGCAGCCAAAATAAAACATTTATTTCATCTTGATTTCTCTTCCAAGGTTAATTGTATTACTGACTTGTGCTTTGATTTTGATGAAGGAAGTTTGATATGCACCTCTCCAAAACTGTTCAAACAATCCATGTATCAGATAGAAAAGCAACTGAGAGTTGAGTGTTGTTGTAGGGAATAGTGGAAAACCTTTCATAATCAAAGACAGAAATTTATCTCTGTCTCTGTCTCTTTCATACACACACACACACACACACACAGAGAAATATACACAAAAATCACATAGAAAAATGTGCATTTTATCAATAGTTTACTAATGTGAACTTTTCCTCCAACTCTCACGATTTAAATATGAATAGAAGCCAACACTTGAATAATATCAACTACCCATGGCATCACTAAATGCTGCTAAAATGTTATTTCTTTGATTGCTAAAGAAATTAATGACCACCTTGAGTTGTATTTTAATAGCTGGCATGTATTTAATAGCCTAAGAAATAATACTATAACTGACACTAATTTCTATTGTTACATTTATTGCAAGGCTAAAAATAATGTTGCTAAGCAACAATTTAAAATAAAAGAAACTAAAATGTATTTTCCATTCTAAAAACATGAACAACTTGGCTATACTAAAAACTTTTCATTAATTTAATTGACCAGTTTTGTAACTGATAACTGGAAGTCATGATAGATTTCATTCAAATCCAAGATTACCTGGACTGTTTTCAAATCATTTTTATAGAAAAAACAATAGTACAATAGTTTAAATATATATAATTGTATTTGTTTATTCATTACTCCTCTGAGTGAACATTAGTATTCTACAGAGCTCTGGAGCAATATTGAGTAGTGGTCATGGAGATATTTCAGCTCTACTTTCTTCTTTAAAGACTATGCCTTTGTGCACAGCTCCCTTTCCTGAGGGACAAGGTGATGTTGGCAGAGCAGCAGACATGGAAATCATGTTGCAGTAACACAGAAAATGAAGGAGTTCTTTGGGGAGAGACTGAAAGAAAACGTTGGGCTTAATTACAGTTGAGTTAGATACAACAAGGGAGAGGAAGGTTAAAATAAATATTTGGTATTGATTCATGGGTCATTATGAACATTTCAATACCTTTCAATGATACAAAATTATAGTTTTACATAAAGAACATTGCACATAAGAAATTAGTGTCCACAAAGCAATCCAGACAGAAATCAATATGTTTAAAGGTATGTTGAAAATAGAATACTTATACCCATGAAAACAAAACAAAACAAAAACAAAAACAAAATAATCAGACTCTTGTATTTTGTATAAAGATTTCAAAACATGGGAGAAATAGATTGTTATTACTGCAAATAGCAAACCTTATATTACATTTCTATGTAGGTAAGTTAAATGTTTAGAAAAATGCTCATGGAATTGATTATGTTAATAAGGGAACATCTTAAGACTAATTCAAAAAATTTGGGAATGCACAGGAAATTGAACACACGACAGTGCTGAGAAAAGAGCCCAGAATAGAAAGTAGTATGACCTTAGGAAGTCATGTGAGCACTATGCTCCTTAGTTTGGTTCTCTGAAAAACAAAGAAGTTGATTAAAGTAGTCATTGGTATGTTTTTTTTTTTTTCCATCTTCCACCCTTTACTCCATGCCAATCACTATCGCTTAAATCAGTCTTAAAATAGGCTGTCATACACTGCCATAGTTGCTTTAATGATTTAATTTTAATTTAATAATTTAATTTTTGCAGTTAAAAAATATATTGTATTATATCTGTCTGATGATACCGCAACATATTGCATTGTATCTCTCTCTTCCTGTATGTCTTAAAAAATTTTGTTAAACATAAGAAAAGTTAAACCTAAGAAGAAATATCCTCTCCATAAGTAATATTTTGTTTCCTGTTCTAAAAGCAAAGTAAAATACAATTTTAATGAAAAATTTCCAGCACCAACAATTAGAGAAAATATCTGTTTCCAACATTCATAATAGCAAACCTTAAGATATTTCCTTCAGATCAAAATGTTTAAAGATGAATTCCAGTTTAAAGCCCTTAACCTATGAACCTACTATTTCCCACCCTGTGAGGCATCTTTCATTAGAGAAAGCCATTATCCCAAAATTGGAGTGTATCCTCTGCCTCTATGCTTGTTACTCTCCTATGCTGAGTTTTAACACAAATTTTATTATGGGCTTTTTGAATTATTTTAAAACTTAATGTAACTGTCATTATGCTATATCATTCTTCAACTTGATACTTTTAAGTCACATTTTTGCAATGAATCTATGGTAAAACATATAACTTCTAAAATGACCATATAGTTCATTACAATTTCTTATGTAAATATAATATGTTATACTTCCTTGTGTAAATATAGTACATTATATTTCCTTGTCTAAATATAGCACACTTTTCCCATTTGTTACCTATTGTTTCCATTTCATTTAGCATTGATGACATTCATGAACAATTGTTTTCAGAAATTATGAACCAATGTAAAACCATGTATATTTATAGAATTCGCTACACTAATAACATAATAATCAAAGGACCATGTCTTTCCTCAGTTCTTCTAGGTATCGATAAATTGCTTTCCAAAACTGCTGGACTAATGAACACTTCCCACATTTGTGTATGAAACTCTCTGTTTCTCTACAATATACTAACCATTTAGTATTGATTTTTCACTGATTTCATTAAGTGTCACTAAATGTCAATAGATGTGCAATAGTATGATTTGTTCTTAATTTGTATTTACCTGGTTACTAGAGAGTTTGAGCTTCATCCTTAAATATTTCATGAGGTCCACCAAACAATTCTTAAAGATGAAATACTATCAATATTTCCATTCAAGTTAGCAATAAAAAGAAATGCAAATGCTCCTTTACTTATGAGTGGATTGCATTCTGATAAACTCATTGTAAGCTGAAAATATTTTGAACTGAAAATGCATTTAATACATCTAACTTCCCAAACATCATAACCTAGCTCATCTTAAACATCTTCAGAATACTTACATTAGTCTCCAGTCAAGCAAAAATCATCCAATACAAAGCCTATTATATGAGAAATTGCTGAATATTTCATGTAATTTATTGAATAGTGTACTAAAAATAAAAAACAGAATGGTTCTATGGGTACTTGAAGTAACAGTAACAAAGTAACAGATTTAATATTGCTTAGTAATAGATAAAATTGCTATGTGATTTTATACCTAGAAAATTCAACAAATATGAGTATTGTTGCTTATAATATGTAAAAACACATTTTAAAGATATGGTGACTAAAAGGTATTTTTAGTGAAAGCATAGCCAGATAATTATAGACCTATGATGATAGCAGACTTTAGTGTGTATACATTTGACATTTAAAATCATTGAAATATGATTCACTATTCACAAAATAATAATGAACCAATTTGCTCATCCAACTGAAAAACAAAAATAAAACTATAATTTTCTTTCACTACAAAAAAACCGCATTCATTAAATTTCCAAGTAAAAATTTACACACAGACAAAAAACTGAATTAAAACACAGTTATGATTTATATTATTTTTTAAACAATAAAAAATAAAATTCAGAGAGCTTGAAACAAATGTTTTCAGGTCATCTCTAAATATTTTAACAATGTACAGGAAAAAACTAAGAGAAATGTTTGAAACATATCATTATAAAATGATTAATGTACACAGAAAAAAGAACTACCACAAGCAAGACAATAGATTATTAAGTAGAGGAATTGCACAAGCAATTCACAGAAGAAGTAACTCAAATGGCCTATGAGCATATGAACAATGCCAAATACCTTTAGTAATCAGTAAAATGAAATTAAAATAACCAAAATATCTAATAGTTTGCCCACCATGTTATCACTCTTCATTTGTTAATATTACATTTAACAGTATGTGGGGAAAATTATACTTTCATAAAGTTCTATTAATATGTTGTGGAGGACAATTTGAGAGCCCTCAGAACTTAAATGTAAATATTCAAAATTCAACAGTTTGATTTCCTATGGAAATATATTTACATTTAGACAAAAAGATATGTAGAAATGTTTAATTGCATCTTTTACTGTAATAATAAACTATTGGATATTAATGTAATTTTATTAATAGAAAAATGGTTAAGTGATTTATGGCACATCCAATTCAAGCAGATGTTAAATGTGATATAGCTGTTAAGCATATTAATCTTTATTGTAGTGACCAAAAAATATGTTGAAAACACTCGTACTGAATAAAACAAATATAATGAGTAACAGTGGCTTTTTCTGAGAAAAGGACTGGAATTATGAATAATGCTTGGTGAGAGAGATTTTGAACATTCTACTCTGTACACTCAATTTTTAGAATAACTTTTAATCTACCTTTGTATTACAATACATGTACATTAAAATAGTCAGTTTCAAAAGATATATCTGAAACTATTCATGAACATTTAGATAAAGTTAATATTATCTTGCAACTCTGATCTTGTGTATATTATCTGATAATATTATTCATGCAACCTGTAGGAATCAAAAATTCAACCCTGATAACTTTTGACTCATTAATTTTAACTTTTTATTTTGAGATATTGTAGATACATAAGCAGTTATAAGAAATAATACAGATAGAACTCATATGTCCTTCACCCCCAATGGTAATATTTGCTTAGCAATTGACTCATTAAATTTTATATGAAAAAAATGCTTAGTGCATTTCTTTACAGGAAAAATACATTTTCAATTACTTTCTCAACTTATAAAATGACTTTGGATTAAAAATAGAGGTACATAGATTTATGTCTTAGCTTTTGGTAAGGATTTTTATATGTATTCAAATATTGCAGGAAGATATTATATGAAACCAATTTTCTTTAATTCAATAGTTACCAAAATTTCAATTGTGCACCACTATTAATAAAAAATATATAAAATGCATATATGTGCTAGAGTACTAACAATAGTTAAATTACAGACATAAAATAGAAAAATGAGATGAAAAATACATTAACATATTTGGCAAATACTGTTTATTGTACCTAAATATGATATGAATTTTATTAAAAGTATTATTTTACGCTTTTTTAATATGCTTAATTATATTTGAAAATCTTGTTTTATTCTTTTGAAATAAAGCAGTTCAAACATGCATACCTGTTAGAATTGGAAAAGGAAAAAGTGTCTCCACAAAACAAAAGCACCTTATTTCTGTGTTTTTGAATGTGTGTACATGTGAGTACTTAATTATCATCACAAAAAGATGGAGGTTGAAGACAAAAAAAAAGAAGAGCAAATTGATAGAATGAAGTCCCAGAGGATGTAGAAGAAAGAAGGGTTCTGATGCATGATTCTTGGCTAGGAGGAGCACTGCTTCACCTGAAAGAGAAGAAAGGGGATTTTGAAAGACAGGTAGATGTAGATGTTGTGACTACTTCACTTTAGACAAAGTTTCTCATCTTACTTGAGAAAAAAACAAATGCTGGCTTTCATCAGATTTAAGCAGAAAAAGGGGAGTCCACTGAATCTATAGTTTATCCATTTTTTGCAACAGAAATTTAATTTATAAAGTTTTAATAGGCCAGATGTTTATGGCTTATTGTATTATAATTGTTTATTGGTTCCAGCTCTTGTAAGCACGGTTACTTGATGAGACCGAGATCTTCATAATCTATATTCTAACGAACTATGTGCTAACAACACTGATGTCTAAACAGAACTGGAAGTTTAACATTACAAGATGAAGATTTCACATATTCTTTTTTTTCTTTTTTTTTGGTCTGCTTATATACTCCTGTTTGCTTCATTCGTCACAAGTTAGATTCTTTGAAGGCACGTGTTGAAAGATGTTTATTATGAACCAAAACCTGTGAAGGGAAGAGGAGGAAGCAGGATTGTGCAGAGAAAGAAGTTCAAGAGTTGTGCAGGCTCAGCAAACCTCAATCAACTTAGTGGGAAGCTCAAAAGTGAGATTTCTCATCCCAGAGTCCTGGTTTGGTTGGGATGGCCAGGCCTTTATATCCCTGCTTCATTTAGTCACTCCATGTAAGCTGCCCTGGGAAGGACGTGACTTCTGCCAATGCTGTAGCTGAGGAAGCCCTTAAGGAAGTAGCTACAGAGCTCTGTGATTCTATCTTTAGAGCATAGACAGAGCATATCCACCAATTGTTGACCTATGAAGTGTTATATATATATTGAATATGCCTAGTCAGGCTACATCAATTACATTCCCTAGCTAAATATTAGAACTTTATTTTGCTATCGTTTGCACATCGTGTCCTCCTCACCACCCCGTCTCCTACCTTTCAGTGCCAAAACCAAAATATGCCAAATTATTCCCTAAATCACATCAGGGCATTTGACTCTCAAAATTCAAGAAAAGGACATACAGTCTTCTCTTTACATCTGAGATTGCCGCATCCATGGATTCTGCCAATTGCTGATCAAAAATATTTTGGAAAAAAATTTTACAAAATTCCAAAAAACAGAACTTGAATTTGCTGTGTGCTGAGTATGACATTGAATTCATGTGATGAAGCAATGTTGGGCATTGCATTAGCAGTTATAAGTAACCTAGTGATGATCTGAAGTATTCAGGAGGATGTGTATAGGTCATATGCAAGCACGACACCATTTTATAAAAGGGACTTGAGCATCCAGAAATGTTGGTATCTGCAGGGGTTCTGGAACGAATCTCTCATGGATACTGAGAGACAACTGTATTCTCATGACACAGAGGTAACTTTGGACTCAGCGATTAAGTGATGAGTCAGACATATTAACAAACCTGGACAGAAAACATAAAAGCAGGACACCATATGGACCTATAGAATCAGGCACTCTTAGGGTCAACAGGGCAGATGTGTGTCAAAACATACAAACAAAAAGTTCCTCAGTTTGATTGGAATGACTAAGAAACCCCTATTCCATAATAAGCTGTATATAAGTTATGAAGAAGTAAGTTCTGAAAGTGTAATTAAGCATGGAGATTTGGGACAGCTGATAAAACAGAACAACCTGATGGAGGTTAGTACAGTTGCCTTGACCTCTTTCCTGGTGGCACTTTTGGAAGGAGATGATTTTGCCTCCCATATGCCATAAAAAAGCGCATATAGCATAAAAATATAATATAGAAGTGAGAGTAATATGTACAAAGGAATCCAATCTGTGCCAGACATGAAGTAACTTGACCAGGAAAATGTCAGAAACAAGACTGGGATGTAAAAGGTGAGTAAAGCTCTCAGGATAAGGATTTGTATCTATGCTCACCTTGGTTCTCTCTTGCACATATCAGGGCATCAATAAATATTTATGAGAAGGAGTTACAAGGAAGTAGAACAGGTAACTAAGTTCATGAAGAAGTGGAGGTAGCACTGACTGCAGGTACGTGGCAGCACCCATCTGCTGTACCGATGCCTGATGGTGGATTGGACAGAAAACGTGGGAGGCAAAAGTCATCTCCTTCCAAAAGTGCCTCCGGGAAAGAGGCCAAGGCAACTTTGCCAGGACTACTCCTAACCTCCATCAGCAGGCTCACCAGCACATTGAGTTTCCTAGTTTAACAAGAAAGCATCTGCAAATGTGTAGCGAGATGATTGAACTACATTTTATGATTTAAAATAAACATTGAATATTTCTAATAAAAAATGAATTTATATAATGTCTGTTATGCAACCTTGGCCAATTGTGTTTACTACACGTTTCCTTAAACATGCCAGAACAGAAATATTTTCTGTAAACACTTAATTACAGAATATTTTTGAATTGACCCGAATTTTCAGTAAATTAAATGTGAGTAATCTATGCAATTTTTAAGATTCAAATGTTTTATTTAGCTCTAATTATTTAGGCAGAATAAACTTGAAAGTAACAATTTAATACATTAATTTTCTATTTCAGATTATAAATTCCTTGCTTACTCATAGCAAAAAATTTGAAACATAATTATGTAATAATTGCCTTAAATTTGTTCTTTATTTTTCCTGTGTCATCAGAGACTTGATGTTATTATGGCATTCTGTAACTAAAGTTAAATATTTTACTTTAACAGAAAACTCATGTTAATCCTCTTTTCCCAAAACATCTTTCCATAAACACAAATTTTCTTCCCTTCCTCTTGTTTTGTCCTTTTCTTCTCTCAGATTCTGTTTTTCTCTCTCTCTTATACAAACACACACAGCTCACACACACACAAAGTCATTTTGTTACTATATAGTAGATGGAGTACTCATTTTAATTCCAGGGCATAGCCTATTGTATTAGTCAGGGTTTTCTAAAGGTGCAGAAGTAATAGGATAGATGTGTATATGAAGGGGAGTTTATAAAGGAGTGCTGACTCACACAATCCAAGGTGAAGTCCCACAATAGACCACCTGCAAGCTGAGGAGCAAGAAAGCCAGTCCAAGTCCAAAAAACTCAAAAGTAGGGAAGCCAACAGTGCAGCCTTCAGTTTGTGGCTGAAGGCTTGAAAGCTCCTGGCAAACCACTGGTGTAAGTCCAAGAATCCAAAAGCTGAAGAACCTGGAGTCTGATGTTTGAGGGCGGGAAGCATCCAGCATGGGAGAAAGGTAAAAGCCTGAAGACTCAGAAACTCAAGTCCTTCCACATTCTTCTGCCTGCTTTATTCTAGCCACACTGGCAGCTGATTAGATGGTGCCCACCCAGATTGAAGGTGGGTCTGCCTCTCCTAGTCCACTGACTCAAATGTTAATCTCCTTTGGCAACACCCTCATAGACACACCCAGGAACAATATTTTGCATCCTTCAATCCAATCAAGTTGACAACTCAATATTAACCATCACACCTATTAATAACACTGGGTGCATGTATCAGGCAGCACCATGTTAACTAAAGGCTTTGCTTTAATCCCATAAAGTCCTCACAGTAATTCCAGGAGCAAACATTATTGTTCTTTTTTCACAGATGAGGAAAATAAAGCCCAGAGTGTTCCAGTGATGGGCCTCGATTCACTCAGCTTCAAGTCGGCCAGACTCCAATGCGCAGGCTCAATCAGGTGCATGTACTGTTTTCTTGTCTATGAAATACTGAATATTTTTAGAAGAAGGGAGGAAATAGAGACAATACTTCTGCCTTGTGGCCTGGTGGTGTACACACCTACCTCTCCATTGTAGAGTCTGCTCAATTCTGCCTAATACCCAACAGTGCATAAGAAATGACCAGGGATGAACTCAACAAACATCAAAGTTTTCAGGTAGTGACACCTAGTCAATACAACATGACATTTTGGGGAGAATTCATTGTAAGATGAGATGGGATAAGGTAAAAACATAAAATTAAGGTAAAAACATAAAAGTTAACAAAATTATAAAAGAAAACGGGACATTTTATTTAAAAAAGAAAATGCTAAAAATATTGATTTCTGTCTTACCTTTGCTAAAATGTCTATAAATTGTTTATCTTGAATATAAGAATGAAGGATTCTGAACTAAGGCAAGATTATTAACATGATTTTTCATACCAGAAAATAAAGCATTTTCTTAAATCAAGAAGAATACTATATTTTAGAAATATAAATAACACTTGCCAAAGGATATTCATATTCTGCGCTTTTTTTAACAGTCTGAATTTAGTTAGTTGAATCTCTCTAGCCTTATCTATAAAATGGGGATAATAGTTAGAGTCTTACTAAGGGTAGGGGCAAATTAAATGAGATAATATATGAAAGAACTCAGCACTACACAAGTCACTGGTACCATTTATTGGTATATACTATAAATGATATATAGTATTTGTAGAATTTATTATAAATTACAGAATTAAGTTTTGGGTTTAGTTCTAATTACATATAGATGTAACCCTAAATTACATTCCAGATTTCTGCCAACATAAATGTACAAAACTGTTGCAATTATTTTGATATATAATCTATTTCTACCCTAGTCAGACTTGGTATTTGTCTTTCTGGATCATGCTGGGGTATGATTCTCATTGCGGACAGAATAACAACAAGAAGACCTTGAGAATAAGCATCAATTTGTGAGCCCCAAGGTGAGGTTATAGTATAGGATCTTCCAGTAGGGAAAGACTGGTCTCAGAAACAAAAGAGGAGACTACTTCCACTGGCAAGGGAGGTTCGGGGTGACTTGGGGTTGAAGATTCTCAGCTTCATTTGTATCCAATCCAATGAAATCTTTTCAATTATGAGGATCCCATTCTTTCCCAAACAATATCCTAACGTTTACATGAGAGAATTGATGAGGCTGCAAATTTGACTTCTGTTATACTTTTGCAACCCACTCAATTAAAATTTATGTCTGATTTTAATTAAGACCAGGCCTGTAGCTATAAAGAATAAGGGTTTATTTTAGGACTGTTATAGAATTTCTACAGTTATCTGACTCTAATTTGAGCTGTGACAGGGCTGAGCTTGTTTTGTTTCTGTAAATAACCCAGTGCACCCCTTGGAGTCATCCTGACTACAGTTAACAGTTGAGAGAAGCAGTCGCTTGGTGCCCCAAGGAACTTGATTCATCAACATAAAACAGAGGCAGTAATGAGATTAATCATGATGGCACTACATGTTGTGGATTAGCTCCATCCATTTGCCACTTGTAAGGAGCTCAGTACTGTGTTCTCTACTAGAGACATAACCAAGCCAATTTCAAACTTCCGTCTTTGAAGGTTTCTATTTTTGAGTCCTCGCTCCTGGTACCAATATCTTTTTCAGCCAGGGAGGTCCAATAAGGAGATATACACCACATCAGTTATTTTAACAGAAAGAATTTAACATAAAGAATTGTTAACTACAGCTTGAAAAAATAAAAAAGGCTAAAGCAACCACCAAAGTAACACATAGGTAATAACAGCAAGAAGTATTCGACAACCTTAGGGCTTAGTGACAAAAGGAAGAGTTTAAAATTATTAAAACTTAGAAGCATGAATGAGTCTCTCCATCTATGAAATTCATGTATCTGAGGAAGAGATACTGGCTGGGTTTAGCTGGGGTCTCTGAGGGAATGTCATGAGCCTTATTTTAGGAGTATTAGAAAAACTGCAAACCACTATCAAATGCTGCCACTGAAACTATTTCCAGGGCGAAGAAGCTTTCCTGAAGCAACAACAGGAACAGGAAGCAAAAAGGATTTGAAATGAAATAGCAAGGGGTATGTATCTTTTTGATTCTTCCAGCCTTTTGGTCTCTTTTTAAATATTCCTTGTTGTCAGAATCTAATAGGGAGCTAATTGGCAAAGCAAGAGTATGGTTTGCCAAGTCCTAGCCCTAGTATCGCAGAACAGATGATGAGTTTGGATCTAGGAAAATAACTGGTAAAGGGAATTTGAATTTCAGTGTAAAAAATGAGATATATATTTTATATACAAGAAAGAATGAATATATCTTTCGCTTCTGATTTGTTAAATTAGTTGTATGGTTTACAAAGTTTTAGAACATTGTAATTTGAGTTCTGAAAGAGAAATTATTATTTGTAAAACAGGTAATTTATTTCACAATGTGGGAAATTGTATATGGAAAGCTTCAGCATAAATATATAACCATGGCAGTGGGTTACAATATGAACTCCCTTTCTGAGACAATATGAGAAGAGGGTATAATACTTTAAGAAGAGTATTCTCACACAGAGTAAAGATTAAACAAGAATGCATAAGAAGTCTCCTTATGTCTTCTCTCTACTTCACACATTCATTCTACATGGTATTTTTATTTTTCAAATCTTCCTAAAACATTTTAATTTTCCTCTGTTGTGGGGGGAGTCATATGTTTTCTTTTTCTTCTTGTATCAAGTAAAATCTTCTCTAGTTTACTTATAAGGAAATGAATGATTTAACCCTTCCATATCTATTTCAGACACTTCCACTCTTAGCTCTGCTTTCCTTCTAATAGAATAAAAACTACGATGGAGTCATTATTCTCACTGCCCTTGTTTTCATTTCCTTTTGTTTCTTTTAGATTCCTGATGCATGGAATAACACCTTCTATTACTAGTCTTATGCAGATATTATGTACTTTTGAAGGCCCAGCCCGAATTTTTTTTGGGTGACCTGATTATCCATTATGTATTTGATAGTCATACATAGCAGAGTGTAATATTGGGATAATAAATTGTTTTTGTTTTCAATATGTTACCTTTGCCCCAATTCAAACTTTTTCTAGTTTCTTAGTATTTGCTGGCCCCAGATAAAATATTAGATGACACTATCTCTCCAGGCTCTTGCTAAAAGCCTGAACTCATTGTGGGTTACCGAAGGGTGGGCTGGATGAGCTGGATGAGCCGATTGATAGGACTCTGAGGAGAGAGCAAGACTTAGAGGAGGAGGGTAAATGAGAGCACTACAGAAGCTAAACCACAGGACAAGAGTGCCTCATATTTTCATGTGTCCTGTGCTTGGGGGGATGGCACCGAAGCAGCAAAGCCATTTGCTGAGAGATTACTTCACACAGTCCTGGTGATAGAACCTGGGCTTTGTGGATAAAGCAAGGGAGTCAAGCCAAGCTTTCCTTGTAACAAGTGACAGGGAAAGAAGAACAAGGTATAACACACACGCTTCTGATGTATTCTTCTCTTTAGTATTAGGAACTGGATTGAATAAGTGAATTGATACTTCAGACATCTTCCACTCCTTAAATTGAGACACTGGAATACTATTTATATACCATTTTTGTTTCTTTAAATTTTTTTATTTATTTATAGATGTCATACAATGAGAGAAATGTTTATAGGTTATGTTTGGCTATATTTTCGGGTGCATGATGCAATAATAATCTCCTTAGGTCCTAATTTCTGATGCTTCTCTAATATTTTGTTAAACTTTGTGGGAGGATATGGGAGGATGGATAATTTGCTATGTATTTAGTGTGAACATAATAATTGTAATTGGAGAAAATTCATTTTATTGCTATCATTTTTGATTTGATTCTGGAAAATAGCATTTTGCTTTTTATTTGGCAAATAAAATCTTTTATGAATTTTTAATGAGATACATATGGAAGTAGTTCATCAAAGGTTTATTTCTCTATGGCCATATTTGATGTAAAATACAAATGCCAAAATGTCATTTACAGAGCTTTTGTTCAAGAACAGGAATAAACTGACAGACTTTCAGCCACACAAACGAAGTGCATTTTTATTGGCTGCATTTCAGATAATGGCAAGGTTATAACACTGTTGACAGAGATTTTTCACCCATCTGTTAAAACTGCTTCATGCTGCTGAGTATTAATAAGCAAGTCTTTTAACGTAACAACACCAAACATTAAAACATTTCACCTTGTGCTTCATTTTTGCCATTATTCTTATATGAACATAATTTTTACATGTAAAATCATTACTCCTTTACTGTTTGATAGGCTTTACCCCGAAATTGAGTAATTATCAACTACAATCATTAGAATTCATATAGAAATATTTAATCATTTAGATCTACTTACAGGAAGGTTTTTCTTTCCCATGATAAAGTTTACATAGTACAATCAAGATGCTAATGGCTTTGTTTTAAAAACAAAATAAAATCATGGTTACAAGGAAAATAAAATATAAACTAAAAATGTTAGGTATTAAGAGATAACACTTCCCATAAATATAGTAAAAGAACAAGGTATACAACAGGAAACAAACAATTTAAAACTTTAAAAATAGGTTATTATTTGTGTTTCACTTTTACTATTTCTAGAGCTCACAATTTCTTTGTGTAGATTCAAATTTCTGTCTGCATTCATATTCCTTCTGCCTGAAGATCTCCCTTTAGCATTTCTTGTATTGTGTTCCTACTGGCAATGAATTTTCTCAGTTTTTGTCAGAAAAAGTGTTTGTGTTAATTTCATTTTGTAAAGCTATTTCTACTTGTTAGAGAATTCTGGGTTGACAGGTTTTTTTTTTCCATTCGGTACTTTAAACAAGTCAATTCATTGGCTTCTGAATGCATATTTCCTGAAGAAATATGCGTTATATATGCAATGTAGGTCTATAATTCTCTCTCCCATTTTTCTCCTTTCTTTCTTTTTTTCTTTCTCTTTCTTTCTTTCTTTCTTTTCTTTTTTTTTGACAAAGTCTTGCTCTGTCACCCAGGTTGGAGTGCAGTGGCATGGTCATGACTCACTGCAGCCTTAACCTCCTAGGCTCAAGGGATTCTTCCACCTCAGGCTCCTGAGTAGCTGGGACCACAGGCATACACCATCACACCTGCATAATTTATTTAAATTTTTTTCACTTTTGATAGGGACAGGGTCTCTACAGACAGTTTGCTCAAACTGGTCTCAAACTCCGGGGCTTACTTGATCCTCCTGCCTCAGCCTCTCCAAATGCTTGGATTACGAATGTGAGCCATCATGTCCAGCTATATTTTTTATCTTTGTTTTTCTGTATGTAATGTGTCTGTCTTAGTTTGTTTTGTGCTGCTATAACAGAATGCCACAGACTGAATAATTTATAAAGAATGGAGATTTGTTTTCTCATAGTTGTGGAGGCTTGGAAGTCTAGGATCAATGTGCCAGCAACTGGCATCTGGTGAGGCCCTTCTTGTTGCATCCTCACATGACAGAAGAAAGAAGGGCAAACGAGATGAACTCTGTGTCTTCATATGGCAGGAGAGCAGAAGACAACAAATCCACTCCTGTAAGCCCTTTTTATTAAAGGCTTTTATCTATTTATAGTGGTGGAAACTACATAATTTAAACACCTTCCATTAAGCCTCACCTTCCAACACTGTTGCATTGGGAATTAGGTTTTCAACACATGAATTTTAGAGAGGACAAAAACATTCATGCCATGAATTCATACCAATGTCCTTTTTCTTCTCTGGCTACCTTTAAAATTTGGATTTTTTTGGTGGGGGAGGGGGGTTAGCAATTTAAAAATATGTCTGTTTGTGAATGTGTGTGTTATTCATCTTACTTATGGTCTTTGGGCTTCTTGTAGCCTTGATTTGATATATTTCACTATTTTGGGCATTTTGAGCCATACATTTTTTCTTTTTCATGTATTTTTTGCCCTTTTATTTCTAACTTATCCTTCAGTTACTCCAATTAAATCTATGTCAGAATATGTGACATATATATAAATATATATAAATATAGATATATAAATACAAAAAATATACATAAATACATATATAAATACATATATATATAAATATATATATAAATAATGTAAATATATATAAATATATATATCCATTGGTCTTGGGCAGCCTCTCCCCTGTGGCTTTGCAGGGTACAGCCCACCTCCTGGCTGCTTTTACGGGCTGGAGTTAAGTGTCTGTGGCTTTTCCAGGGACACAGTACAAGCTATTGGTGGATTTAGCATTCTTGGGTCTGGAGAATGGTGGCCTTCTTCTCACAGCTCCACTTGACAGTTCCACAGTGGGGACTCTGTGTGGGGGTTCCTGCCCCACATTTCCTTTCCATACTGCCCTAGCAGAGGTTCTCCATGAGGGCTCCACCCCTGCAGCACACCTCTGCCTGGACATCCAGGAGTTTCCATTCCTCCTCTGAAATCTAGGGGGAGATACCCAAACTTCAATTCTTGACTTTTGTGCACCCTCAGGCCCAACACTCTGTGTAAGCTGTGTAAGCTGCCAAGGCTTGGGGTTTGCAATGCCCTGAGCTCTATGTTGACTCCTTTTGGCCAAGGCTGGGCATCAATGCGGGGCGCTAAGTCTGAGACTACACAAAGAAGAAAGGCCCTGTGGCTGGCCCATGAAACCAGTTTTTTCTCATAGGCCTCCCAGCTAGTGATGGGGGGCTGCCATGAAGGTCCCTGACATGCCCTGGAGACATTTTCCCCATTGTCTTGGCAATTAACATTTGGCTGCTGGTTACTTATGGACATTTCTGTAGCTGGCTTGACTTTCTCCTCAGAAAATTGTTTTTTCTTTTCTGTTGAATCATCAGGCTGCAAACTTTCCAAAATTTATTACTTCCCTTTTAAATATAAGTTCTAATTCCCAACCATATCTTTGTGAATACATAAAACTGATTTTTTTTTTCGAGACATAGTCTCTCACTATCACCCAGGCTGGAGTGCAGTGTCATGATCTCAGCTCACTGCAACCTCTGCCTCCTGGGTTCAAGTGATTCTCCTGCCTCAGCCTCCCAAGTAGCTGGGACTACAGGCACATGCCAGCATGCCCAGCTACTTTTTGTATTTTTGGTAGATACAGGGTTTCACAATGTTGGCCAGGATGGTCTCGATCTCTTGACCTCATGATCCACCCACCTCGGCCTCCCAAAGTGCTGGGATTACAGTCATGAGCCACCGGTGCCTGGCAAAACAGAATGTTTCTAAGAGCACCCAAGTCACTTGTTGAATGCTTTGTTGCTTAGAAATTTCTTCCACCAGATATCCTAAATCATCTCTCTCAAATTCAAAGCTTCACTGATCTCTAGGGCAGGAGAAAAATGCTGCCAGTCTCTTTGGTAAAGCATAGCAAGAATCATCTTTGCTCCAGTTCCCAATAAGTTCCTTATCTCTATCTGAGATCACCTCAGCCTGGACTTTTTGGTCAAAACCATTCAACAAGTCTCTAGGAAGTTCCAAACTTTCCCACGTCTTCCTGTCTTCTGAGCCCTCCAAGTCTATAAGAAGTTCCAAACTTTCCTACATTTTCTTGTCTCCTTCTGTGTCCTCCAAACTGTTCCAACCTCTGTCTGTTACCCATTTTTGGGTATCTTCCACATTTTTGGGTATCTTAATAGCAGTGCCCCACTCTACTGGTGTCAATTTACTGTATTAGTCCATTTTCATACTGCTATGAAGAAATACTCAAGACTGGGTAATTTATAAAGAAAAAGAGGTTAAATGGACTCACAGTTCCACATGGCTGAGGAGGCCTCAGAATCATGGCATAAGGCAAAATAGAAGCAAAGGCACATCTTACATGGTGGCAGGCAAGAGAGCATGTGCAGGGGAACTGTCCTTTATATAACCACCAGATCTCAATAGACATATTCACTATCACAAGAACAGCATAGGAAAACCTGCCCCCATGATTCAGTTACCTCCCACAACAACATGTGGGGATTATGGGAGCTACAATTCAAGATGAGATTTGGGTGGGGACACAGCCAAACCATATCACAGAGTGTATGTATGTACTTATATAAATTTAGATAGTATAGCCTATTACATACCTAGCATTTAAGGTATAGCCTATTGCTCCTAGGCGACAAACCTGTACAGATGTTACTGTACTGAATACTATAGACAGTTGTAACATGGTAATGGTATTTGTGTATTTAAACTTATCTAAACATAGGAAAGATACAGTAAACCTATGGTATTATAATCTTATGGGACCACTGTCATATATGTGATCTGCTGTTGACCGAAATTTTATTATGTTGTAGTAGCTTTTAATACTGAAGATAGTTTCTGCCAGACACTGGAAAAGCATTGAAATATCTGGGATCTGCAGAAAGTCATAGTTTCTACAACATTCATGGAGATCTGAGCCTGTTTGAGAGGAACTCCTTGGAGAAGCAGAACATCATATGAAATGTCCATATGGATGGCTATTAAAACTAGACTATGGACATGTTGTATTAACATTTCAGTCAACAACAGGTCATATGTACGACAGTGGTCTCATAAGATTGTAATACCATATGTTTACTGTATCTTTCCTATGTTTAGACATGTTTAAATACACAAATACCATTACTGTGTTACAACTGCCTATAGTATTCAACTACAGTAATATCTGTACAGGTTTGTAGACTAGGAGCAATAGGCTATACCATAGATCCTAGGTGGGTAGTATGCTATACTATCTAGGTCTATATAAGTACACACACACTGTGATATTCACACAACAAAATTGTCTAATGATGCATCTCTATTGCCAAGAGATATGCTGAGCTCTGCCTCATATCCTAAGCATATATAGTTAAACTTCCCTTTTGAGATTTGTATATAGTCTATCTATATCCATCTTTTAGGCTAAAATGTTATAATAAAATTACATTGTACTTTAAAAAATCCCTATGTTTTTCATAAATTCTTCAAGAGCTCCTTAAATTTTATGCTAAATTTACTTATGAAAGTGGATACCAACATATTAAGTAACAATGAAAAATTTTGGACATGAGGAAGACAGACAATTTCTTTTATTTTTCTCTTTTTTTCTGTTCTATGCCTCAGTTTATATCCCTTCAAGGAAGTTAGCTTCTCTTGTCAATGAAGTGTGTGTGTGTGTGTGTGTGTGTGTGTGTGTTTAATAAGTCAATGTGAGGGTGAATTAAGCTCCATAAGGGTCCTCAGTCATCATGGAAAAAAATTGTTCTAAGACTAGGCAAGTCTTAGAACTCAACACTCTTTTTTTTTTTTTTATTATACTTTAAGTTTTAGGGTACATGTGCACATTGTGCAGGTTAGTTACATATGTATACATGTGCCATGCTGGTGCGCTGTACCCACTAACTCGTCATCTAGCATTAGGTATATCTCCCAATGCTATCCCTCCCCACTCCCCCCACCCCACAACAGTCCCCAGAGTGTGATATTCCCCTTCCTGTGTCCATGTGATCTCACTGTTCAGTTCCCACCTATGAGTGAGAATATGCGGTGTTTGGTTTTTTGTTCTTGCGATAGTTTACTGAGAATGATGATTTCCAATTGCATCCATGTCCCTACAAAGGACATGAACTCATCATTTTTATGGCTGCATAGTATTCCATGGTGTACTTAAGTAGAAATGTATGAAGAATATTTAGAATGATAATAAAAATAACTAAGAAATATTGAAGACTTATTATATGTCAAGACCGTTATATAAATTATTTCTCTGGATACTCTGACAACCTCTTTGGGAGGTGCTATTAATTATCACATGATAGCTATCTCTGCTGTTGGCTCCATTTTCTCCATGTCAAGTTTAGCATGACATTTTCCCTCAGTCACCCATAGCTAAGATGCCCATTGTCTAGTTCTCATAGGCATCAACATGGACATTTCATATGATGTTCTGCTTCTCCAAGGAGTTCCTCTCAGACTCCGATCTCCATGAATGTTGTAGAAACTCTGACTTTCTATCAGTTCTCAGATATTTATCTGCTTTTCAAGTGTATGGCTGAGACCATCTTCAGTACCATTATACAACACATTTGTATTTTCTATCTTGAAAAATCAGACATAAAATTACCCAGGATCTTAACAGTGAGGTAGTATACTCCACTTACCAAATTTATTTTTTCTCATAGAAACAGGCAATATGCTATCGATTACCCCCATGTATAAGAACTGTCTAGATTACTGAAACACAAAGTCCTGATAATTCACCAGGATTGGCATGGAGACAGGTACAGGGAGAGCAGCTTTTTCATTTTTTTGCATGAAAAGTGACCTTAGAGAAAACAGCACTCCTTTATACTCTAAGAAATAAATTTATAACTAATATTTTGGGATGAAGTGGGGTGAGATGAAAATCAAGACACGTTCGAGTGTACACTGAATTCAATGCCTCACATGAAAACAAAACACTGTCTTATTTTCCTTGTAGATGTTTCCTAATAGATAGGTTTTTGCAGTGGGCTTCAAGCAAAGAAGTGGCCACAGCTCATGTAACAGAGCTAGCGGGATGTCAAGAGTCCTTCGCAGTCTAGTAACTTTATAATTTAGTTGTTTGTAAGTTAGAAAGTATCATTTCCAAAAATTAGAATATATTAGATTCATTCCAAAAATTGTCTCTTTGTAGAAATATATCATATGAACTCAGCCCTGTGCTGCTTATGAAGATTAATGCTTATCCTCAAACTGACAGCCAATATTCCTATCATTTTCCTCTAAGTCTATCTCTCAGGGCAAATCATAAGTAAATAAATGTCAAACTTCTCTTTCACCCACAGATAACAACTATTCTGAAAATAGCATTTTGAATACTTATAATGATTTTATAAGTAAGCTTTTAAAATTTAGTAGTGAGAAACATAAAAGGCAAATCTAGTGTGTATGAGTTAGAAACAAAAGATCAGATTTTTATTTTATAGCATGCTTATACATGTAGAACATGTGCATCAGACATTAAGTTTATATTTGAGACACTTTTACTTGTACCTTTGTGATAAGAAATTTGTTTAGGAGGAGACAACACACATTGTATATTACAATGAGAAAACATCTCATCTCAAGCGATTGATTTATAAAAAGATCTTGAGCTTTGTGAAGCATCAACAAACTATACAGTATCAATCAGCTAAGAATTCTAGCCTTAGAAATAGTTCAGTTCTTCAGGGTGTAGGATAAAAATTATTGCTTATATTTTTCCTGAAGACATTTTTAAAAGATATTAACATGCATTTTATTGAGATAATACTTGAGTAAATGACAATAAGATTTTAAAATTTGAGGTTCTATTTCTGTTAAGCTGTTGGTCAATAAAATCATAGACTGAATTTTAAAGATTTATCATTCTTGACTTTGGAGTAATAAAAATTAATAAATTATGTATAAAAGAAATGTACCTTAACATTCTATAGGAAAACCATTATAAGAAAGAAGTCATTTCAATTCTACCTATGTAAGTTTTCTCTTAATACTTAATCTTTAGATAATTTTTTTGATTTTGATTAATATATATGCACAAAGGTATGATTGATGTTAAGCCAGAAATATCCAAAGTTTTCATATTCTTTTTATTTACCTAACATCTTTTTTCTATTCTGCAAATTATTTTATATTTAGTTAAAAGTCTACATTTTTTGAAAATTAATTAACAGAAGAGCAATATATCATTGATATGGCAGAAATTCTTATCTGCTTAGAATCACTGTTTATCCTTCAGATAAAACAAAAATAAAAAGCAAAAAATACCAAAGTGACAAGAAAAATATTAATTTAGGCAAAAATCTATTTACATACAATAAATGAGCATTACTTGTTTAAGCTTATGAAAGAATAAGTACTGTTTAGTGATTAGATTTAAATTTGAGGATTCTCATGTGATCCTCACGTATAGAGAACATATGCAGTCTCCTCCATACACACTTAAATAGATACACACAAATATGCATATATACATACACATTATATGCTTCATGGTCCCATCTTTGCTCTATGTCAAATTAGAAACATGAATATCTGTCTTCCAAAAACAATTGCAAATCTCCTGCAAGTTATTTTTATAGTCTCTCAAAAAAATGAAAGTGGCAAATTTTGCTCAAAATGTACTTCAAAAAATTTTCCTCTTTGCTCTTTCTCTTTCCAGTTTTTCCTCTTCTTTCAAACGACCAAGAAAGACCATAATCAAAAAATTAAAAAAAGATAGATGTTGGTGTGGATGCATTGAACAGTGAACACTTCTACACTGCTGTTGGGAATGTAAACTAGTACAACCACTATGGAAAACAGTGTGGAGATTCCTCAGAGAACTAAAAGTAGATCTACCATTGATCCAGCAATTACACTACTGGATATATATCTAGAGGAAAAGAAGTCATTATGCAAAAAAAAAAATACTTGCACACACATGTTTATAGCAGCACAATTCACATTTGCAAAAATGTGGAACCAAACCAAATGCCCATCAATCAACAAGTGGTTAAAGAAACTGTGATACAGACACACACACACACACACACACACACACACACACACACACAATGGAATACTACTCAGCCATAAAAGGAATAAATTAATGGCATTTTCAATGACCTGAATGAGATTGGAGACTATTATTCTAAGTGAAGTAACTCAGGAATGGAAAACCAAACATCGGATGTTCTCATAAGTGGGAACTAAGCTAGGGGATGCGAAGGCATAAGAATAACACAGTGGACTTTGGGGACTCAGAGGGAAAGGGTGGGAAGGGGCTGAGGGATTCAAGACTACAAATAGGGTGCAGTGTACACTGCTCAGTTGATGGGTGCACCAAAATCTCACAAATCACCACTAAAGAACTTACCTATCTAACCAAACACCATCTGTTCCCCAATAATCTATGGAAATAAGTTAAACAACAACAACAACAAAATCAAATGACCATGAGTAAAATGGGGACATAATAGGACTTATGTCATAATGTCATGAAGATTTTGGAAAAGAATAAACATCAAGTGTTTGTAACAAAGCTTGACACATGGTAAACACCTAAAACTGTTAGCAATTGATATTATTTTATGGATCAATTAAAATTTAATCCTGACTATAACAGCATGGCCTAATTTTTTTATTATGATTAAAAACAATCTGTGATTTCACAGAAAGCACTGTGGTAAGAAAATTATTCTCTTACATAGAGATAAAATTTTTTTGAAGGCTGTCCATTTTGCTATATTTTGTATGTGCTGGGGCTGAATACATTAATTACTTTATATGTCTTGTTTGGTGAAGTCTCAGCTTAATTAATGTTGCATTACCAAGGTTCAGATAGGTTCATTGAATTTTCCCTTTGCTCTTAGAAGATGAGTAATAAAGTACTTTATACAGGTAGCTCTTAACAAGAGCAAAAGGGAAAGAAGAAAAATGTAAAAATGAAGGGAGAAAAGCTGTCCCTGCACCTTGGTCTGAAGGCCTCAAGAGAGAACCATGATCTGGATTGACTCTGGGACAACACAGATTGCAGGTGGTGGCCAGTGTGGGCTCACCTCTCACTGTAGTAGCTGTTTAGCTGCTTTACCATGAAATGTGCTCCAAAACCATGGCATTCAGAAAGACTGTTACTATTACATTAGTTCGGACCTGGATAGATTTGATTATGTTCTTTCAATATTCATAAAGTAAAAGCCTTGGGCCACAGGGTAGCAAGCAAACACATTTATCAGCAACTACTTATAAACATCCGCTGTCCCCAAGTCTTCATCTTTTCAGGGATGTTGTGCAGTGAGTGTAAAGGAGTGAGGGGGCATTGAGTATTAAATATGGATGACCTTGTTTTCCTGTTTGGATGTTCACACACTTTCTTCCCGTGCAATGGAAACACATTATTATCAAATATTTAAAAACTTATATTGAAGCAACATTTATTCAGTAGCTATGCTTTTACACGTTTACCCTTTTAATTCTGATGCATTCAGTCGTCATTACTAGCAGGAAGGCATTGTTATTATCATTTAAGTGGTGTTGAAATTGAAGTTCAGGGAGGTGAAGCAACTTGCCTAAACAATCTGAGGACACTGGTCCACACTGCCCTTCAGCCTGCAAAAGAGAATCAGCACATAGAAGGTGATTACTTTATCAATAGGTTCAGTGGGCACAGAAGACATGAATAGTCTGTTTAGTAGAATCTCTTGTGTAGACTTAAGGGCTTAACTTATGATTGCTAAATAATAACTTTTGCATAATTTCAATAGAATATATGCTTCAATTCCTAAAACTTCCTTATATATTTGACTTTTTATTTATTGGAATTACTTTAGGAAAGCTCAATATTTTAAAATGACAAATGGTACTAAAATATTTAAAGTCTCCTAGAATTTGTATTTAGAAATCACTTTTTCAAGTTCTTAAAATGCTGCTTTACATTATTTATTTTAAA
This sequence comes from Homo sapiens, assembly GCF_000001405.40. Lineage (NCBI taxonomy): Eukaryota > Metazoa > Chordata > Mammalia > Primates > Hominidae > Homo > Homo sapiens. The sequence continues at coordinate 118,489,459 of NC_000007.14, forward strand.
ATAAAAGCAATACAAAATAATTTTATAAGGTTAAAAAAAACAAATAATTTGTGTGATGAACAATAAAAATTATCTTCTATTACCTCCTCCCAAATGACCCCAAATATTGCAAATGTTAGCATTTTGTTATGCATGCTTAGCAGAGTAAGAGCCAGCAGGTGGGATTTTGCTACATATTTCCTATTCTCAAGCATGCTTATTCCTCCCGATAATATTTCTAAAGAGTTGTCCATAAAAATAGCCTCCATTTATTTTATTGATTAATTATATTTAAATTTTAATTGTAGATTACACTAAAAAAATCAAGCTGATATTTATTTTTGATATTTGCAGTTTTTTGTCAATACATTAAATGCAATGATGAAAAACAGATGAGAAGACTCTTTGGAAAGTCTGGGTGAATATGTATCAGGAGAAGTGCTGGGCAAAGTATATATGCTGTTAAAATTTACAGAGCTAATGTCAAATTGCCCTCTAGAAAACCATAAAAAATGTATACTACAATCAGAAAAACATAAAAGCATCTGTTTCCAATCTACTCTGCCTTAGTCTGTTTTGCTGTTGGTATAACAGGATACCACAGACTGAGTAATTTATAAACAACAGAAACATTTGGCTCATGGTTCTGGAGGCTGGAAAGTCCAAGGCTAGGGCTTCACTTAGTGAGGGTCTTCTTGTGGTATCATCCCATGGTGAAAGGCAGAAGGGCACAAGAGTATCCACAAGAGAGCAAGAGGGGTTTGAATTTGCTTTTATAACAAACCCATTCTTCAGATAACTAATGCACTCCCCTGATAATGACATTAATCCACTCACAAGGGCAGAATCATCATAATCTAGTTATCTCTTAAAGGTCTCACCTCTCAAAACTGTTGCATTGGGGATGAAATTTTCAACACAAGATCTTTGGGAGACCTATTCAAGCCATAGCACCCTCCAACAACAAAATGTTAATAAACACTACATACACACACATATATTTTTCAACTGGAGAATTGAAAAAAAAAGATATCTGACTTTTATTTTACATTGCTTCAATTATGCAGTGGGACATTCAGATCCTTGATGGTCATTTGCTGTTGTTACTGTTTTCTCAAACTATCTTACGTTTTGTAAATTGTCTACTAATATTGTCTATTTCTTTATTGTGTATGTTTTTGTTTAATTAATAAAATTATCTTATTTTCTGCCATAGTTGCGAATTTTTCCCCAGACTTGTTCTTTGCTTGATTTATTTTTTTCATTCAGAATAATTTTTATTATTGCTTTTAAGCTTTCAATTAAAAAATAATTTTGGTTTCTAGAGTATTGATCAAACTTAGAAAAGTTTTCCTCACTTAAAGATTTTTAAAAGTGTAGTTAACGCATACTATGTTTTGATACTTTATGTGATTTTAGTGTGCTTTCTGTCTTGAAATTGGTAGCAGGTGTTCCCACGTGAAGCATGTTCAGTGATGTTTGCTAACTATTGACAGCTAGGCCACTATGCTGATGCCACAGGGTCACCTGAAGCATCTGCTGGTGTCATCTCAATATGCCCAGCAGACATATTCTTCTTATCTTTTCCCCCTTCTGCCTTTCTCACGTCTTTTTGCCCTGACTGTTTTAATGAACATCTCCAAACAAAGGCAGTGAAAGACAATATTTAGTCCCTCTAAATTCCCTATTGATTAAGAAATTGATGACACTCTTCTAAATGCCAATGATTCTCAGGACTGCTGGTTGCTATTTTTACTACTGATCGTTACTTTTTTATATCCTACTTTTAAAAAAACTTCTTGGAGAATAATGTGACTAGATAATTTACTCTCAAAATTTACTTATCAGGATGAAAGGGAGTAATAATATAATTAAAAAGCATTGACTGATCACCAGGATAAACTGGGTTTATGATCAGCCTACCATGTGTAGTTTTAACCATTGTAATTTGATCATAATGCTGGAAGCAAGAAATGAGTTAATATCTTACATTCTAACCTAGCATGGAAAGAAGACTCAAAGTAAAAGTATTATTTCTCTTTATTTTTCCTTCTGTCCCAAACTATAGTTCACTTATCTTTTCATCTTCCTTTATCTCCACATATTGGAATTCATATACTTCAGTTCCAAATACTGAGCTTACTGATTCAGCTATGGTATTTGTTTGTTGTTAAATAATACTTTGAAATTGGACTCAGCAACTCTATATTTGAAGTACTAAAGAGCCAATGGTGACCAGCTATTATACCATGAGGAAAAGCAACATGTTGAGCTAAGCTTTGTACTAGAATTAATTCAATTTTGGATTTGAAAGAGTCCAAGATTATCTTTAAGACCATTTTTTTTACATTAATGATTAAACAAACAAAACCTGAAACCAAGAGAAATATAAATGAGTTGCTAAAGATGACCTATTCAGTTATTTGCAAATTTGTATGATATTAAAAACACATAAAATGCATATAGAATCCAGGGAACAGTAACCTTCCACACATCTAGTAAAAGGATTTTGCTAAGTAGCACTAATTAATTGATGCTTTCCTCCTGTTTTCTCTATTCTCTAGTTTTGGAGCTTCTATAATTCAATTTTTGGTTCTCTAATTTCTATATTTCCCTTGTCTTTTTTTTTCTTCCTTTCCCTTCCTTTCCCCCTTGCCATTTTCCCCAAATCTCTACCATCCAGTAGATTTCCTTGACTTTACTTCCTATTTTTATTTATTTTACTAGTTTTAAGTTTTTATTTCCAAGGACTTCTTTTTTATTGTTTGAATGATTATAAATAAAAATGTTTTTTAATGTGTCATATTTTCTAAGAATATGAAAAGTTTTATTTCCAAGTTTTCTTCTTCCTCTTTTTTCTTCCATGGCATTCTGTCTTTCATTTATGAGACTTTCCTCAGATGTCTGGAAACTTTTGCTTGTGTAAGGGCAAATTCAAATTAAAACAAGAGACTTAATTCTCCCTGTTAAAAATAAGTAAAAAGACACCTCCACTCCGTTTGTATGTATTTTATAAAACTTGTAATTATAAGTTCTGTCTCTTTGAAATGTATGCAAATATTTTTAAAAGCTAAATAAGCCTCTTGCCACCTTTCTGCCTCTCTTCCAACTGTAATCATCAAGAAAGGCATCCCTATTTCCATTGGAGCTGAATTTGGGCAGACGTCCTGCTCCAAATGGCAACACTACTTCCTGTCTTGAAGACACGAGAAGCTTATTTTTCCTTTGAATAAATCATTTAGCTAACACAGATGGTCACCACAATTACCAAGTGAATTTAGGATAAACTATGTGTGACAAATGGTGCTGTCAAGTCCTCTTACTTCATGGCCAGTCATTGTTTATCCTGAGAATATGTATGCGCTGGGTCGTCTCCGATTGCCTATCTGAAAGGGTGACTATATAAAATCTATGAGCAGATTGCCACTGATGCACATCACATTCTGACTTTATTATTCAATAATAAACTTCTTTTTTCCCCCTCTCTTTTATCTTTGTGGAGAAGTTATCTGGGCTAGAAAAATATTTTGTTTTTAATTCTTTTTCCCCAACACTTCTGTGCTCCTGTGTAGGAGTGTTGGAACAGGTTACAAGCACAAGCTCTGAGTGCCTGGTGAGGCTGGAGCGTTCTGAGCTTCCTTATTTATTTATATATTTCATGGTGAGCTGCCTGTTGAGAAACAGTTGATGCCTTTTAAAAATATATTTTCTTTAAAGCATATTGTGGAAAATTTAGAATATTTCAAATTTAGGATTTGAGAATATAACTATGGGCAACACTGAAAGCTAGAAGATTCTATTAAAGATACTGTAAGCAAAACTTTTAAAAGTATGGAGGAAACTGATTTCCAACTGGAATTTTTTTGCCAGCCAAGTGAAAGTGAAAAAGGAAGATGCTTTCAGAGATTATTAAATGTCAAAAATTTACTTCCTACGTGCTCTTTCTCCCTAAACTGTTGGAGTATATGTTTTACTCAAACAAGAGTACAAACCAGAAAATGAAAAAAGGGGAGGCAAACACATGAGAGAAAGGGAGGGAATCCAAATGGTAATGATGGAGAATAATTGCTGTGCTCCAGGGCAGCTGGTCTAGATCAGATGGTTTAAGGTATCACATCAGAAACCCTTCTTCTCTCCTGAATGAATGCATGGGCAGGGAGAACACTGATGATTCTGATGGGGTGTGCAGTGAAGGTTGAGTGTGGCTGAGAAATAATTTCTTCTTTCTTTCTTAGTCTCACACTGTAGCTCAGGCTGGAGTGCAGTGGAGCGATCTCAACTTAGTGCCAGCTCCGCCTCCCGGGTTCAAGAGAGTCTTCTGCCTCAGCCTCAGTAGTAGCTGGGATTACAGGTGGGTGCCACCACGTCTGGCTAATTTTTGTATTTTCAGTAGAAATGGGGGTTTCCCCATATTGGCCAGGCTGGTCTCAAACTCCTGATCTCAAGTAATCCACTTGCCTTGGCCTCCCAAAATGCTGGGATTACCGGCGTGAGCCACTGCGCCCCGCCGAGAAACAATGTCTTTAATAAAAAATTATGTTTCTAAAACAAATGGTTTGTTATAATAAAACAAAAAAAAAGTTTCTAAAACAAATGGTTTAAATTAATCTTAGAGAAAAGGAATATGGTCGACATTTACTTTTTACTCTTTTCCTTTTTAAATTTTCCTTTAAATTCTGTACCATGTGCTTTTACTACTTATGTAAAAATGAATAATATGCAAATATTTTCCAAAAAGGTTACTGTAAATTGTTGGGATGCCTAGATACCTACTTGCATTCAAATAAAAATCATAGGCAGATTAACAGCCACTTTTGCTTCTCACATATCATTATCAGTTTGCTATGAATTTGGCATACTTATTCAATTTTACAGATGGGCAGTTAAGGCTTAGAGATATTTAGATAACTTATTCTGGTTCAAGACTTGAATCCATGTCCTCTAACAATGGGCAATTGAACTAAATGATCACTAAGACTTTCTCCAATACATTTCAACAATATTTAAATATTCCATAAATATGTATTAGTTATTTCATCTAAAGTTCTTTCATTTAAAGTTATGGGGCTTCATTTCCTAATCTGAAAAATAATGTCAATGTACCCAATACTTCGTGCAAAGTACAAAAAAAAAACATGGATGAGACCCCTTACACAAATCATTTAATTAATTCAGTTTATGAATATTAGCACATTATTAATTGTGCTGCTGTTCTTCCTATTTGGTGATATGAAGTCAAGTTTAATGGCTTTCTTGATCAAAAAATAGCTACAGACATAAGACAATGAATTCTTTCTGGAGCAGGTACTTAGGCTTTCAGATCCAAGATTGTGCAGGTGCTCCATATGTTATTTTTTAAAATATTAATATAATTTACAGGATTTGAAGCCAGCATTAATTAAAACAGCAGTGAGAATGAGTATGGGTCCTCAAATGTTCAATAAAAAGTAATTGTTTTGACCATGAAGTTGTATGACACCAAAAGCAGTTCCATAGATATTTGAGATTCTGACGTGAGTAAGGGTATCCTTGATTAGAATCTACCTACTCACTTTGGTGTCAGTGTTAAGAATTGATTATAATTTAGAAAAATTAAAATCTAGCATATATGTGGCTGCAAAAGTCATGAGACTAAAACAAAATTGTGAAATAACTATTCAAAAACTAGATATGGCATCTCTGACAGTGTTTAAAAATACTAGATTGAGGACTGATTCATCTTAGCAGGGGGTGTGATGGGTTGCATTAGACATCAATAACTTTGTCATTTTTATTTACTTGAAATGCTTGCTTTTACTTTTATTCTCAAGTTGCTATAGCTTCTACTACTTTAAAAAAGACTTTTTTTTTAAATTGACATGTTTAAAATATTAAAGGCTGAATGCTATGGTGCATTTTAACCAAGTTATATGGAACTTAACTTATTGTTTCTTCAAATAAAACCTTCCATTTACCTATATTAGATTGTAATTATTTTTTAAATGATTCTGAGTTTCTACATTTACTTATGCACATTGCTTTAACAACCAAAAAGTTAAAATGTCTTAATTTACAATAAAGTAAAACTAAAATAAACTAATCAGTTATTTAATTCTTCATGGTATGTACCTACCTAATATTTACATATTAATTAGGTCATAGGTGGGTGGCATTAACCATAAAGATTACATTTTATTTAAAAGAAGTTACTATAATATTGAATTGGAATAAAAAGAGATAGATAGGTAGATATTACATCCATATAAATGATGTGGATAAAGTCTGTTTGGATTTATAGTAAAAAATATCATTACTTTAAATTTCTCTTTGGTCAGCATGTGCAGGTTAAAATGGAGTCTATTCAATTTTTCAATAAAATAAAACAGTAACCAGCAGAAACCTGAGTTTAAATATTTCAATTTGTCACTCATAGAAAGATGCTTATGTGAGTGATATAGAAAACATATATAATCAGCATCTTCCTGTAAAAATGCTGTGATTATACTTTAATGCTTAATATAAATATGTTGGCACATGCATCATAAAGTACATTATGTCATTTTAAAAACAGATTGTAACTATTTTAAAAATAATAAATCTTCTTGCCCCTCTCTCTTTTCCAGATAGAGTACCAAAGATATAATTTGAAGAGAGGAAACACAGTAACACTGCATTTTTATATAAAATATGATACCTTTTGATTGGAAAAATAACCAGCCAAAAATAAAAAGAAAACAATTCATGTATCTCAAAAATAAAAGTAAGTTTATTGGAGTTAAAGAAAAGTTCCTGTGGGTAAAATTTTCCATTGAGTAATGTAAAAAAAAATCTGGCCTTATATCCCTACATCCTGTTATATCTTTATCCTGACATTTCACTATTTAAATTGCCTTTGCATTCAGAAATATTGAGCAAACATTGCTGACACTGCAGAGTTTATCTGTGTATGGCATTCATTATAGCAGCCCAATTTGTTCCCTTGCTTCAATAATGAAGTTTGCTGTGGTCAGTGGAATCAGACTGATTGGTTTACTGGAGAGACAACTATGTTTGGCAAGTTGTACATGTAGCTGGACAATGTTACTGAGAAATTGGTCAGCACCAGATAGGAATGTACCAGTTTAAATTACTAAGACACACATATGATTTCTTAAGAAAAAATTAAGATTATAGTGAAGGATTTTGGAGATGATTTGTTCTCAGCCCAAAGAAGAAGAGAAGAAAATAAGAAGGCAAAGGAAAAGGAGCAGGAGGGGGAAAAAAAACAGTAACAAAATAACTATGGAATTTACCATTGACTGCCTGAATACAAATTATATACTGATAACAATTAAATCTGTATTCATCACTCTGCAAAACATGCTCAGCTATTCCGGTAAGCAATGATAACTTTCCTCTTCTGAATTCTTCTAGGGTAGTGGTTCTCAAAGTGTAGTCCTTAGATTAGCACATTAACATCATCTGGGAAATTATTAAAAATGGAAAGTGTTGGGCTCTGCCTTAGACTTACTTCCAGATACTCTGGGGTGGGCGTCATAATCTGTGTTCTGTCAAGCATGCTCAAGTTTAAAGATCACTGCTGTAGGACAATGTACCTACAGATAAATGAAGCACATAATTATATGCTTGTTACTGTTTTAAATTTAAATTTTTTTAATACCTGAATTTTTATACATTAGTCTTATACCAGTATCCAGATAAAAACATCCTGAAGGTAGGGATATTATATATATATATTTATATATATTTTGTTGTTGTTGTTGTTGTTGTTAAAAGACTTATTAAGATTTTTTTTTGCAGGAAACTTTGTTTCCTAAACAAATCAAATCCAAATATTTAATAATTGACTAAAAATAGAAGCACATTTACCCTAATGTACTAAATAAGTCATCTCTATTTTTTTACTAACAATAATGAGACAACCATATCCTCCTCATAATCTACACTTTTTCTTCAAAATAACTAATGTGGCTGTCCTGGATATTAACAATTTCCACAAGACAGCTACAATGTTCTAATAGTTTTCAGCCCCAAAGATGCTTTTTTCCCCTTGGCCTTTTTCAGGCAGGTAAAAAGTAATTTATCCTTTCAGTGCCTGAGCCCCTTTCACAATCTGACCAGATCTATCAAGGTAACTGACCTATGACCAGCCTTTTTGTCTGTTTCTCTTTATGATTTTGATAAATAGAATTTTTGCCATGTCTGCAAGTTCTATAAAGCTTCAGTTTCACAGTGGAAAGACATTCTAACATTCTATTTATATTCCTGGTCACAATTTTTCAATGTTCTTAACTCTGTTCATAAATTTGACTTGCCCACCAGATCTTCTTAAGCCTACAGTTTCTTTAGAATAGTAAAGATAAAAAAGGTATTAAAGTATGAATTTTATTTTCTAATTTATGTTCAAACACAAATTTTCAATGTCTCAATTTAAATATTTTATTGATATGATTCAGAAATCCCTTTCACTTGCAGGATATTGAGAAAGGTAACTTTATAACATCCCATTTTCCCTTTTTTACAGATTCCATTTAAACTGAACAGAACAAAGAGCTCTCTTCAAAAAATGCACTTGTGATTATATTCACTAACGTACAAGTTCCTCTTACTTCGCCCACACTCACTAAGGCTAAGGCAGTCCAATCCAATAAAGTTATTACACTTCCTTTCCTGCTTCAGCCTAGCATCTTTTGGTTTTGTCTTAATGTCATCAGGGCCATGTAGAATGAAGGTTTATGTAATAACTAACTATGCTGTCAAGTATTTTTGCCCCTGACAGTTTTGTCTGTTTGTTTGTTTTGTTTTTGTTTTTTTGAGATGAAGTTTCACTTTTGTTGCCCAGGCTGGAGTGCAATGGTACAATCTCAGCTCACTGTGACCTCCACCTCTCAGGTTCAAGAGATTCTCCTGCCTCAGCCTCCCAAGGAGCTGGGATTACAGGCATCCACCATCAAGCCCAACTAATTTTTTGTATTTTTAGTAGAAACTAAAAATTTCACCACGTTGGCTAGGCTGGTCTCAAACTACTGACGTCAGCTGATCCACAAGCCTCGGCCTCCCAAAGTGCTGGGATTACAGGCTTGAGCCACCGCGCCTGCCCCCTGAAAGTTTTTAATTTTAATTTAGAGTTTCCTTTTGGTTGTTTCTCCATCCATAATTTTCACTCTTGCTCTGATGTGATGTCACCTTTTACTTTGTTTTTGAAAAATTTCAGGTAGTTTTTATCTTCATTCCTTGACCTCAAGTATCAAGACTTTTAAAATATGATCTGTCAATTATCTCTTTAGGAATCACCATGTTCTTTAATGCTGTCCTGTCCTTAGTTTAACATGCATTGCTTGAGATACCATTCAGGTACTTCCTGTTTCAACCTTGACGATAATGATACAAAAAGATAACAACTATTTTCACTGCGAACAACAATATACTTTGTTTTTATATCATTGCATGTTTTAGGTTCCCAAGAGGTTGCTTTGTCAGAATGTATCCCTTCATTGGAAATTAAAATTTACATTTTTTTAAATGTTTTAAGAGACAGGGTCTTGCTCTGCCATCCAGGCTGAAGTGCAGTGGCACAATCATGGCTCATTGCAGCCTTGAACTCCTTGGCTCCAGTAATCCTTGGTAGCCTTGACCTCTCAAAGTGCCAGAATTCCAGGTGTGAGTCACCACGCCCAGCCTACCTTTAATAAATAAACTTTAATTTCTTATTTTACAATAATGTTAGGTTTTATATTTTCAGCCCATTGGAAACTACCCAGTGCTTTGAAAAATACTTATCATTTACTCAGAATATGTCTCTTAATAGAATATTAAAAAATACATTTCCTAAAAATCTCACATTTATTTTTTAGAAAATGTTCACCCTGTATCAAAACGGTTACAAAATACAAAGTAAGGGGTTACCAGTGCTTAGTGGGACATTGTAACATCACATCTGTGTGTTGTACTTGTGTATGTGCCTGTGTGTTACTTTTTCTAAGCATGCATAGATTTTTTATAGGACTGTTAATATTTAGCATTTCTCACACTTATGAAATTCTGTACAAGGATTATATCAGGATTGATCTTTTACTAGATTAGAGGAACTGTGTGTGTTTATTAAAAGTACTTTCTTCTCTCAGCAGTGGTGGGCCTTATACTATCAGCTTGTGTAACTCTGAATTCATGAAAATATTTCAAAGCATATTGCAGGACAAAGGTGATAATTCCAGGAATGGCTTTTGATTTAAAGTTTCAGAAAAACATCCCTTTTCTAACAGAAATATAGAGTGCTACTGCTAAGCAAAACAAAGCAGTATTCTTTATTGAGTTGCATCGACTTTAAATACTTCACAATTTACTTTAAAGAAACATTTATAAGATAATTGTAGATTCACATGCAACCTAAGAAATAATATAGATTCCATATGCCCTTAAATTAGTTCTACAGTGGTATCATCAGTATTACATAATTATAATATAAAATAACAACCAGAAAATTAATATTGATACATATCTTCAACCTTATTTAGGTTTTTCAAGTTTTACATGCACTCAAGTGCGTGTGTGTGTATGTACATATTTAGTTATATACAAATTTATCATGTGTGGGTTTGTGACAACCAATACAGTCAAGATACAAATGATCCCATCACCAGAATCCCTCTTACTACCCTTTTATAACCACACCCACCTCCCTCCTGTCCACACCTCCATAAACACTGAAAATGACTAATTTGTCCTCTTTTCTAGAATTTTGTCATTTCAAAATTATTATATAATTGGAATCCTACATTATGTAATGTTTGGGACTGGCTTTTAATTTTACTCAGCATAACTCCCTTGAGATCCACCCATGTTGTATGTATTAATAGTGTTCCTTTTTTATTACTGAGTTGTATTCCATGGCATGGATGTACCACATTTTGTTTAACAAGTCACCTTTTGAAGGGCATTGGGTTGTTTCCAGTTTGGAGTTTATTACAAATAAAGCTGTGACAAACATTCGTGCACAGGATTTTGTGTAAAAAGTTTTCATTTTGCTGAAATAAATGGAGCTTTTTTTTCATTCCAGTAGTACAATTTCTGGGATATGTGGTAAGAGCATGTTTAGTAGCATAAGAAGCTTTTAGAGTAGCTGTGCTATTTTATGTTCCCACCTGCAATGTATGAGTGATCCTCTGCATCCTCGCCAGGATTTGGTGTTTCTATTTTCTATTTTAGCTATTCTCATAAGTGTGTATATCTGATTTGCATTCTGTATGGCTAACGATGTTGAATACCTTTTTATGTACTTATTTCCCATCTTATATCCTCTGTGATGAAGCATATGATGCATCTTTTGCCCATTTTCTAATTGGATTGTTTGTTGTTGCATTTATTGTTGACTTTTGAGAGTTAAGCCTCCCACCAACTTATTCTACTTCTTTGATTGCTGGATGGAGGTAAAAGCTCAGCTCCCTTTTGGGTCTGAGTGACTCTTGGGGGTAGGCACAGAATACCATCCTGTTCCATCTCAAACTGCCTCATTACATCTATTTGTTTCCAGTTGGTGGAAAAGGCTCACCTTCTCATTGGGCCCCATTTTCAGGGGTGGGTTGTAGGAACTAGAGTACTGACTAGCCTTGCTTTGCATTACTCCATTCAATGGGTTTGCTGCTGGGTGTGTGGAAGATCAGCTTCCCACTGGGTCCTGCTTACACCAGGATGTGAAATGCTGACTAGCCCAAGGTAATTGTCACTACTTGATTCATTATCCTTGATGCTGGGTGAGGGTGGAGACTAATCTTCCCACTGGATCCTGCTGACACTGTCCTGATTGAGTAGTAATACCACTGTATGATTCCAGCAGTTGTGGGGAGATTAGCTCCCTGCTCAGCCTCTCTGATACAACTGGGCAGCTAGTTTTTGCTTCTGCAACAAGACATAGGTTTATGATGAGCTTCCTGTTCATCTCTGCTGAAACTAGGGAAAGGTGAGGGTGAGAAGGTGAAGGAAGACAGGAACTGGGAGTATCAATTTATTTTGGTGATGGCTAGAGTTGGGGGAGTTGAATACCTTTATATTTATTTATTTTCCATCTTGGGAATGGGCAAGAAGATTTTCCCTTGTTAGGTCACCGTTTTTCCTTAGCTAGAGGAAGCAGACTTTCTTAGGTGCTTCTTTTTTTAAATTATTTTTAAATCTGTGTCTGTTAGTGGTTCTAGGTTGGAGGCGTTAGCAGCATTTTGGCTGGGGTATATGGGAGGCAATATGGAAACCATCAAACTTGTTCTCACGTCATTCTGCAAGTCCTGGTGTCCTGAGGTAGGCTGACTTCTTCTTTCCACCATCCAGAGTCTTTCTGTCTTTGCTTGTTGTGTTTTGTCCAGGATATTTTAATTGTAAGAAGGAGTAGCTGGGAGGAATGAGCCTATGCCATGTTGGCTGGAACTAAAAGTTCGTAGTAATTTACTTTTCACACATGGCAATTTTCAAGAAAATAATAAGTGGAAAGATTCCCATCTTATGCACAGGTGATATTTCATAAGGAAGTTAAAATTTTTCCTGTGATATTCTTGACAAAATATTCCTCTTGAAAAAATGTTGACTTTATTTCAACTTCTTTGTATCTTAATTGAGCGTGTATGTCTCTTGCTCAAGATAATGTAATACGGTTCAATGTTCCATCCTGACAATTCTAATGTATATTGATGCTATAGATCTGGTTTAAGTTGGCTGTTTTTACCATTTATTAAGGAAGTTTCCACTCGTGGACACTAGTTTAGCTCCTCTTCCATTATACTTATAAATATGCATTGCATGAATATTTAAATGAGCAATGATATTATAAGCACTTTTTATTCAAAACTTACACAAAATAGTTTATCTTGTATGGAGCATCACTAAAGGTGTAAAAGTAAAGTACTGAGTGGAAATGTGACTGACATGGGTCAGGATGCTCATGGCTGGCAGAGTCCAATGAAAAAGAGCAAGATCTGGTAGAAAGAAAGTGTTTTTATTAACCAAAACTAGAAATGGGGAAGTGGCCAATTTCCTACCCAAAGCAACCGCTTCGATTTCTGGTGGGAAGGCAAGAGTTTAAGAAGAGAAAATTTGATAAGGAAGGCACTAATAAATGTGCTGAGTAATGTCTGTGTGTCTTTTTCCCGTGGCTATCTTGGGTCCCAGCCCACCTGGACTGCAGGCTGGCATTGTCTCAGGTATGGCTGGGTTGTGACTTTGAAGTAGTCTCCAGAATTTTGCAGCTGGGTCCCCAGGATTGATCTGTCTGTCTCAAGATTAGCCCCTGGAATTTCTAAGAAGGCATGTAAATAGATACTAGAATACAATTAAATAGATGTGAAGGGAGTATACATGGTGAGAAAGGCAGGGATGTGCAGTCTCTTTCAAGGATAAGGGAAAAGACTTCTGCAGTTTCAAGGTTTTACTTGAAAATCAATAGAAAGGGAAAAAAAGGTTTAATAATGTATTTTGAAGTTAAGCTGCCTGATAACAGAACTGTAAGCTCTGAGGAATGTTTTAATTAATCCATTTAAATATTTTAGAGTATAAACTATCTGGAGTCCAATGTAGGTTATAAAGAATTTTAAATGTTCTTTTTCTTTCCTCAGAAGTTCAAGCATTTCATTTTAAATAAATATATTGGCACCATGTGCTCTCTGTAATACTAAATGATGTACTAGGCACTGATGGATTCCAGATGGAGTAAGGACATGAAATTAAGTAAGTCACAGTTTTTAATCTCAGGGAATGAAGATTTCATTGTTAAATACAGCTATGTAAACAAAAATAAAATATAATCACAGTAGAATTTCATAGTAACTAAAACAAAAAACAACAACAACAAAAAACCCACTACTTAAAAATCTGATGGGAGTAAAATTAAAGGTGTCTCTGTGCTTAGCGAATTTATAAAGCTTGAGAGAGAAAATGGAGTTCACAAGGTAGAAAATAGGGAATGAGCATTCTTACCTGGGTGATGTAAGAAAAATGGGCTAAAGCATATGTGGCTGGACCAAACTTTTCCAGGGAAGTTGATGAAATTGGGCTGGAAATGTGGTTTGAACTAGGTCATTATGGCCTTATACACAGTTCTGAGTAAAGGAGAAATAAAGTCCTGTAAACCATCATTAAACAGTAAATGTTCACTGCCAAGTGATATCAGCACTAGAGATACCTGAAATTCATAGCCCTAATGAATAGCAGAATATATTTTCAAAATGATAGTTATTTCAAGACTTTTGAATCTTATAGAATATGTTATTCCTCAGACATTTTGGAGAAGGAGAGATACATACTTTGAATAAAAATCTCAGTGGCTAAGACAGTATAAAACCACTAATCTAATTAAGTAACAGTTCACAGAAGAAGACATCAAGCTTAAACTCATACCAATAATTAGGAGGAAGCCCTGTTCTCCTGTTTCCTCATGATAACTCATTAATAAAGAGATAATCAAAGAAATGTCTCAGTGCAATTTTGAAATGGTACAGACTAGTTGAGAGGGGTATTTTAGGGAAGTGAGAATAGAGAGAAGAATCAAGGGGTAATAGTAAATAAAACCATCCTTTAAAAACAAATTAAAAAATCAAAACCTGCTATAATGAATGTAGTTCCTAAAACTTTTTTTGGCATTATGAAACATGATTATATGCAGAAATATAAAATAAGACATTGCCTTAGATGAAGGTGAAAATCCTCCAAAACAATAAAATGTGGTTTTGTTTTTTAATAAATAAAAAATGAAAATATGGCTCTGTCTGGAAAGAGGTTTGTTTAAATTTTAGAATAACTTTAAATTATGGAAAAAAATTTGAAGATAGTATAGGAAGTCCCCTAGCTCTTTCACATAGATTCTTTTAAGATTGACATCTCACATATCCATGGTACCTTTATCAAAATGAAAAATTAACTTTACCACAATGCTTTATACTACAAACTATTTTGATTTCCTGTTTTTCCACTAATGAGCTTTGTCCTGGATGTAATCTAGGAGACTATGTGGCTTCTGGTTATGGTGTCTCCTTAGTCTGCTCTGATCTGTAACAGTTTCTTGGTTGGTCCCTTGTTTTTTATAACCTTGCACTTTTTAAAAGTATTGGCCATGCATTTTGTAGGATGTCCCTCAATTTTTGGTTTGCTGATGTTTTCTGATTTTTAGACTGGGGCAATGAGTTTGGATGAAGAACAGAACAGAGGTAAAGGGCCCTGTCATCACATCACATGAGAAAGTCCATGTTATCAACATGACATCACTGGTGGTGCTAGCCATGATCACTGGGTAAGGTGGTGTCCGCCAGGTTTCACCAGAATAAAGTTACCACTTTTCCCTTTCCTTACTTGGCTTGCTAGAAGAGAGTTACTAAGTCCAGTCTAAACCCAAAGGGGAGGGGGTTACTCTTCACTTGCTCGAGAGAGGAGTATCAAAGGGTATGTGGGCACAAGTTGACACCACTAGAGTAATTAACAAATATATTGGAGAAAATAATTTATTTAGATCTACCTAACCATTATGTTTCTTTTTACAGTTTCATGGTTCAGTGGATCTTTACTGAAGCAATTATTGCTGTGGTGTTCTAAGGATGAATTTTTATTTCACTCATTCCCTTTTACATTTATTTGAAATCCTTTCATAAGGAAGATTTGTTCCTTCTTTCACATTTACTTATTCTATCATTTATACCACCATAGACTCAATGTATTTATTTTATTCTTTGGGCTATAAACCAATACTATCATTATTTATTTTTTTCACATTGTTTTATCTTTGGTCAATGGAACCTACTTTAGGGTGGCTCCTGGTTCCTTTTGCAGCATTATGTATATATATACACACAGAATATACTACATGGATATCATATATATACTATATACTACGTGTGTGTGTGTGTGTGTGTGTGTGTGTGTGTGTGTGTGTGTATGTGTGTCCTTACTTTCTGACAATACAAGTTACTCCAGGCTTATCTTGGTATTTTTCCTGCACTGGCTCTAAAATTTATCCAGAGAGTTCTGGTTTCATTTATTAGAGAATGATACTTAGTAAGTATGGTTATAGTCCTAGTTGTGCTCATTGCTACCTGGGTGTTACTGCTTTTAGAACCTTTCAGCAGACAAAGCTAGGAAATATACATATGTATACTGACCCATGTATACACTATAACAATTTGTATTTACCTGTATATATTTTTGTCTCTCTCTATATATATAGAAGAATATATATGTAGAGGAAATACATCACACAGATATTTGGAGAAGACTATTTCAGGTAATGGAAGAACAGGTCCTGTGCTCTCAGATGAGAGCCTGTTTCATGTTTTCAAAGAACAGCAAGAAGATTGAGGTACATGGAGTTCAGTTAAAAAATAAATAAATAAACAGGAAGAGTGATAGGAGATAAATATTGAGAGATATAAAAAGAGAAATCTCAGATCAGATCATTTATGTCCTAATAGCTTTTTAAAGTAATTTGGCTTTTACTGTGAGAGACACTCAAATACATTGGAGGCATTTCAACAGATGGGTGACATGATGTGAGTTATTTCTTTTAAATGAACCTCACCATCTGCCATGTTGAGAAGAGAGAGTAGGGGTACAGGAGGCTGTTACTAAGATTACTGCCTAGTAATCCACATAAGAAATGGTGGATCCTTGACTGGAAAGGCCAAGAATAACCAATGACTGAGGCAAAACTAGATAGAATGGATAGAGAACTAAAAAGTTTTGGAGTTGTCAATACAGAATAAGAACATGATGTGGAAGGATTTGAAGGGGAGAAATAAGAACAAAATAACATAAGGAATATAAACCCAGAAGTCAGCATGAAAACTCAATGCTTGCACATAGATAAGTTGTGAAAAGGAAGAACTGAGAGGCAAAAACTAGGGCAAATTTTGCTATATAGAAGACTAAAATTAGGTAGGAAAAACTTCAGCATGACTACCATTTCAGAAAACCTGCAAACTTTAATTAAAATTGATGGACATTCTTGCCCACTAACATGGCTGCAGTCAGACCCATCTGTCAGGGTGGTGTGACTGCCATCAGGAAGAATTATGCCAGATTCACGGGCCATGGGTGCCAATCCAAAATAGTTTTGAAGATTGGTTTGATGAGGTAGAAATATACCAGAAATAGTACAGCTGAACCTGAAACATTCCACAGTGAGTTTTGTCAAACTTTACAATTCTAAGAAAAATTTTAAACCATTTAGATTCTGAACTGTTCAAAATCTTCCAGGACCTGTAGGCATGGCTAAAAAATCTTAGCTGTTTCCACTAAAAAAAAAATTTCATTTCAAGAAATACTAATTTTTCACATCATTATATAATGTGGAATACACAAATATTTCTATTTTATATTTCTTTTCTAATTTTTCTCTGTATAGTTTCTACATTATCCAAGCCTTCTGGCTTTCACCAGGTGGAAATAAGGAAGTCAAGAATCTCTGTCTCTTTCCTACCACGAAGTGTATTTTTTCCTATTAATTCAGAATCAATTAATATTTTGTTTTATAGAATTCTCTAATGGCAATTAAAAGCTAGTTGTAGGCATTATACAGTGTTTTTGGCCAATTTGATGGTTTAAGATAAGTGGGCTGGTTCTGGTTATATAATATATTATAATGTTATATAAACCATATTTCTATCCCTATTACTTTTCTAGCATATTTGGAAAAAATGGAATGCCTCCTGTTCCTTCCTGAATTACCTACTTGGTAGCTGCGTCCCCTGGCCTTATCTTCTGTTATTACACTTTTCTTGAGCCATTTTTCAAACCACTGCTGTTACCGCCAATGTTTTCCTGTTATGATGTTGCTGAAAATACTCAGAACTCAAAGCCAGAATTAATTCCCTTTTCTTAAATTCATGTTTTAATTCCCCTATGCATTGTGAACAGGAAGATATATATACACAGTAGTTTTTTACTGAAGATCTGAGATTAAATGGATGGCTAAAAGTGTAGGAGATAACACTTAAAACTGAATGTTAAGAGCTCACAGGGAGGGGAGGGAGAGCATTAGGACAAATACCTAATGCATGCGGTGCTTAAAACCTAGATGATGGGTTGATAGGTGCAGCAAACCACCATGGTACATGTATACTTATGTAACAAACCTGCACATTCTGCATGCACATGTATCCCGGAAACTTAAAGTATTTTTTTTTTTTTTAAAAAAAGGGAGAAATGGGGGAAGAAAAATAGAGGAGAGAGAGAGAAGTTATCCATCTCTCCCCCAATGTGGTTATCATTTTGCACAGATTCCTGTGGGTATAACCCAGTTTCTAGTCTTGTCTTGCTTCTCTTTCTCCAAGTTGGCCTGCCTGTTTTCATCCAGCACTACTTGGGTGACCACTTAGGTCTTCCATCAGGGAAATCTACGAGATATGAGAGGCCCTCAGCAGAGAACTTACTATATTTGACCTTTCCAATTAGAAATTAATATCATGACAATGTCCAAGTTGGGCTTTTACTAGTCATGTCCAGCAGAACAGGCCAAGTTGTAATCTGACATCTCAGGTCTGTTATCCTTAATGATTTTTCCCATTGGAAATAAAAAGATGACTTCTTCATTGCTTCTGTAATACTATTTACTTTGGTGAGTTATTTTTGGAACATACACACACCCACACAACACAAAGGACTCAAGGAGAAATAAAAATTTCTTAGAGGCAATACAGTCTAAATTCATATTGAAGAGGCAAAGTTGCATGTTTTTTTTCTACATGCAAATACACTCCCCCCAAAATTTTATTTTACATTATTTTTTAGAGAAGTTTCCAGATAAATTTATTGCAAAGATATGCTGAATTATAGTACCATTGACTACTAGTGGCAACCTTTATTCACATAAAGATACAGCCCAAATTTGAAATTTAAGGTTTGTTTAACTTGGGCCAGGTCAAATTTGGGGTTAGAGTGTTTGGTCTCTCAATTATTTGTAAAAAGGTGAAATGGCAGAAATAGTTATAACCTCAAGTAATATGAAATTTGCAGTGTTTGTGTAGGGTGGGATGGAGATGCCTCTTGCATTATCAACTTTGTTTCAGAGTACTTAATATAGAAATATCTGGCTGACTATTCAAGGTAGTTCTACAAGGTGCATTTAGAGATACTTATCAGCTGTTACTTATACTCTTAGACAATGAACTTCATGTTCTGTCACATTTTTATCATCTAACTCGGTAAATTTCATCAGTGGAATATGAAATATATGCCCTTTTTTCACGAATACATTTCATGAGATAATTTATCAAAAAACAAGACATCACAGATTAATAGAAAAATTTTATCTAACAACATTTGACTATTTTACTGAATATTTTCCCACTCTTCTATTTATTTTAAGAAAAAAAGAAATTTTGAAGTCTTTTAGTGCAGTATTTCAGAAACAGTTAATATGTGTCTTTATGATGGCATTGCAATTATTTGGATAATACAGATGATTTTGTATTAATCTCATTAAAAACACATCAATTTGGGATTTTTCAAAGAATTGTGCTTAAGTATAGTACTATCCATATGTATGGTCATAGAAAATATATGTATTATTGTGTTGTGAATATATATTCACAGCATATGTATGCACATATCCAAATACGTGTATCTACACACACAAACACATAGGTGTATGGAAGCTTATCACACCCTATGTTTTTATGTTTTTCTCTCTGACTGCTTTCCCTTTCAATAATATTTCTTGACAGTATAGACACATTAGTTCATATTGATCTCATACTTTTAATTGCCACATAATATTTAATTGTATGAATATATGTTTGGTTAGCCTTTCCCTTATCAAAAACATTAGGTACTTGCAAATTTCTCACTGTTCTATTTTCTTACATCTCATTTTGTGCTGTTTCCCTAGAAATGAAATTGATGAATTATATGAGCATATAATATTTAAAAAATATATTCCAGATTACCCTGAATGCTTGTTCTAAATTTAAAGCTCTATCAGTTGTTTCTCAGTATCTTCACTGATCTTTAGTATTATCAGACTTTTAGAGTTTTTTCAATCTATACGAAAATGATACCTGATGCATTGATTTTATTCCACCAAAGTAGTTATCTTTGGCTTCTTTTTGTTTATTAGACATTTATGTTTAATATTTGTGAATTTGTTGGTCTTTGCTATATTTTCTGTTGGATCTTTTTGTCTTTTTTATTAATATGTATGAATTATGGATAGTTTGATATTTGTTTTATGATACAAATGCATTCTCTGATTTTGCTGGCTGTCTTAAATTTGGGTTATTTTATACAAGTGTTGACTATGGATGTATTCAAATGTATAAAATCATTCTTGACTTTGTTTTTTAGATCTTGTTTAAGAAAACCTCTACTATTCTGATGGTGTAATTTTTTAATGAAAAGTCCCTCTTTATCTCACTGATTGTAAATAATTTTGCAAGCTAATAAGTGGTTGTTACAGCATTCTTACACAATCTAATGTGTTGTAAAAGACCATTATTAACACTTTCAAGAACATATACTCTGGTGGATAAGTGAAGACCTGTAAGACCAATTTAGAGGATACTGAAATGTGCAAATGAGAGATGATGATGGTTTTAATAAGCTGGTGATGGTATAAACATTGAAAATGATCTAGTCTTTGAAATATTTTAAAAGCAGATATGAAAATATTTACTGATAGATTTAATGTGAACTGTGGGAGAAAGATTAAGTGTTAAGAATATAACCCAAAAACTTATTTTTTATGTTTACCTTTCCTATAATCCTGAAAGTCAGTTTCAGAAAAGGAAAATTGTCAGAGGAGCCAGGTGTGAGAAGGATAGAGTGTGGTAAAGGGAATATAGTCTAGACAAACTTAATTTTGAAAGTGTTCATTAGGCCTTTGAATGAAGATGTTGAATATACTGCTGGAAAACTGAGTATGTGGGCAAATTAGGGATGTGTGGTTCAAACACCTTAGAGATTCTATGGACGCAGATCTCAAGATAAATAACATAAGAATGTCACAATTGTAGCATTCACTTATACTGGTGGTTCTATAAATTGGTATTTTTTAAAATGTGTAATACTCAAGTGACAATGCTAATGATTTCGATGAAGCAATTCAAAAATTTATTATAACAAATTATTTAAAACAATTTAAAAAATAAGGTGCAGGCACACACCTTTCGCTTGTATTATTACCTATCTTACTAAGTCATGCACCAATAACATTAAGAGAAAGTAAATAAAGCTGGCCAAATGAAGAGTGTTATACAAGTTAATTGCCAGTGAGTGTTATACAAGTTATTGCCAATGAGTAATCAGCATATAGATAACCACCTGCTCAAATATAATCTATTGGCCAATCTCTCTTTATAGCACCAGCATCATCCCCTTTTTATTTTGATCATCTTATCAGCATACATGTGTGCTGTACTATCTCTCATACATACATATATGTATATATATGTATATATATTTACACACATGTATGTGAATATATACGTATATATATATATATATACACATACGTGTGTATATATATATACATATATATATTTGGTTTTCTTTTTTTGAGATGGAGTCTCACTGTATCTCTCAGGCTGGAGTGCACTGGCACAATCTCGGCTCACTGTAGCCTCCGCCTCCTGGGTTCAAGTGATCATCTTGCCTCAGCCTCCCGAGTAGCTGGGATTACAGACACGCACCACCCTGCCTGGCTAATTTTTCTATATTTAGTACACACTGGGTTTTACCATGTTGGCCAGGATGGTGTTGATCTCCTGACCTAGTAATCCACCCACTTCAGCCTCCCAATGTGCTGAGATTACAGGCATGAGCCACCATGCCTGGCACTATCTTTCATATTTTAAAAATCTTTTTACCCCATATCATCCTTCAGCTACCATCCTATTTCTATGCTCTCCTTTATGGCAAACCTCTTTGAAAGAGCTCTTTGTTCCCGTTGTCTTTTCCCTTTCTCCCCGAGACAGCCCTTGGATGTAATCATGAGTCATGTGAAGTGACACTGCAGCAATATTGACAGTCCTTTAAATTGTGCATATAGATATTTACTTTTTCCATAAGATTCTTTATTCTTATCATCTTGATTAATGCTTTTATCTGCAGTGAATTTGTTAGCAAGTTAATGTACTCTTGTCAATAAAATGGAAGATCACATGAACTTTTCCCTCCCCATTAATTGTTTCCCATCATTACAGACGTTGGGTAAAATTAGAAGTATTTATACTATTTAAATAATGCCTAAACTATTATTTTTAAGTGTTACAGATAAACTGCTTATAGTCCACAACTGTTATGATTATCTTAATGAATGAATCATGGGCTCTGAAACATGGGAATAACTTATAATTGAGAAATAATATTGATCATACCACTGCACTCCAGCCTGGGTGACAGAGCAAGATTCCATCTCAAAAAAAATTATAATATTAATGTTCAAGGAGCTCAAATTCTATTGGCAAAATTCAGGATAGAAATCCTCACTAGAGATAAAAATTTTTGAGTAATCATCATATGAATAGTCCATTGTTCAAAGATTGTTTGTTGACTTGTCTCTCCTTGTATATTGGTTGGAAATAAAATCAGTCCCTTGCATACATCAGTCTCTCTCTGAGACTTTTCTAGTCCGTTGGGAAAAAATGTGAATTCCTCTATTAATAACACATTGTTTAAAGGCAAACAGTTTTGATATTTCCTGATAAATGGAGGAACAAATAAAGAAACAGTAGGTTATAAAATTACTATTGTTATATTATCATCTATATATTAATAGTTTTTCTTTGTTTATATATGTGGACCTTTGAAATCATGTAACTCTTGTTTTCATATAGGTGTGCTGAAGCCCTATCCCCAAGATGACTATATTTGGAGACAGGATTTTTGGAGGTAATTAAGGTCCTAATAGTAGGGTCCTGGTTCTATAGAATTGGTAGCCTTATAAGAAGAAGAGAAAGAGCAATATTTCTCTCTCCATGTGCATGAACTGAGGAAAGGCCATGTGAGCCACACAGTGAGGAGAATGGCACTCTGCAAGCCAGAAAATGAGCCCTCACCAGAATCCAGGCATCCTGGAACCCTGATCTTTAACTTCTAGCCATTGGAACCAACAGAAAATAAATTTCTGTTGTTTAAACCACATACTCGGCTGGGAGCAGTGGCTCACACTTGTAATCCCAGCACTTTGGGAGGATGAGGTGGGCAGATCACTTGAGGACAGGAGTTCGAGACCAGCCTGGTCAACAGGCGAATCCCATCTCTACTAAAAACACAAAAATTAGCTGAGTGTGGAGGTGCATACCTGTAGTCCTAGCTACTCAGGGGGCTGAGGCTGGAGAATCACTTGAGCCCGGGAGGCTGCAGTTGCAGTGAGCCAAGATCATGACACGATACTCCAGCCTGGGTGACAGAGCGAGACTCTGTCTAGAAAACAAAACCAAACCAAACACCTACTCTATGGTATTTTCTATGTCAGCATAAGACAAGGTGTGAAAATGGGATATAACTTTATTTTTTTCCAAATTGATGAACCGTCATATCAGTATTAATTATTGATTTATTTGGCTCTTTGTTTTTCTTTTACAAAATTGCCTCACATACTAAACAATATTTATTATACTGTTTTAACCTTAAAATGAGCTTGCTATTTAGGCAAGTTCTTTTTGGGGTTTTGATTGAATTTATTTAGAATGATGTGAGAATAATTGAAATTTTTATAATGTATAGATTCTTCCCATGTGTGGATCTTCTATCTCTCTCTATTAGTTTACTAAACATCTTTCAAATATTTTGTTATATTTGTTCCACGAAATAGATAACTTAGGGAGCTATTATGAATAGAATCTGTCTTTTTTTTTTTTTTTTAGAATCTCACTCTGTCACTTGGGCGAGTCTTGCTCTGTCTTCCAGGCTGGAGTGTAGTGGTGCAATCTCGGCTCACTGCAAGCTACACCTCCCAGGTTCAAGCAATTCTCCTGCCTCAGCCTCCCATGTAGCTGGGACTACAGGTGCATGCCACTATGCCCTGCTAATTTTTGTATTTTTAGTAGAGACGGGGTTTCACCATGTTAGCTAGGCTGGTCTCAAACTCCTGGCCTTAATTTATCTGCCTGCCTTGGCTGGCTGGGATTACAGGCCTGAGCCACAGTGCCCAGCCTTATAGTGATTTTAATTTAGTATATACTATGTATCCATATTTATCCTTGTTTCCTCTCCATCAATATGTTTCTATATAGAAAGAACCTGTTTTAACTTTGAATGTTCAGTATCAAGTATTAATATAATTATTTTAACTTTGATTTTATTGCATTTATCCTGGTATATTTTTATGTATTTTTAATATTTAATACTTTGTTCTTGTAAATAGCAAATACATGGATTGTCTTTATTTTTTCATTAGGAATATTTCATCTTTTGGTTTAGAAATTCAAAGCATTCAAGTTTATTAAGGTAAATAATACATTTTTAACGTTACCTTCATTGTATTTTTTCTCAAGTGATGTGTTAAATTTAAATGATAAATTTGTCTTTCTAGAAATATATTTTGTTCTGGGTTATTATGGAATTTCCATTATAGTATCGTTCTTCAAATAAATTTATAACTATTACTCTTACTCAAATTTTAGTTATAATTATCCACCATAAACATTTCAAACTAATAACTCACCATTTATTTCTATGAAGTCTCCTTTCTTCTGTCTTTAATGTCTGGTCTCATTTTTCATTGAAATGTAGCATGTACCCAAATATTTTCATCTGCTAGGACATAAAGATTAAATACCCTCTGACTCCTTGAATGAAAATAATATATAGGGCAACTCACACGTTACCATTTTGGACCAAGGTAATGACTAGCCACATACAAAAAGTAAACAATACGAAATAAAACAAGCAGGAAATTACTAATCAATAGGCATAAAGTTTCTGTCAAGCAAGATAAATAAGCTCTAGATATCTGCTGTACAACATGGTATCTGTAGTCAACAATAATGTAATGTATACTTAAAAATTTAAGAGGGTAGATCAGTATTTTTACTACAATTAAATTTAAAATATGAAATGAAATAAAACAATAAAAATTAACAGGAATATGCAAAGATAAAACAGCAATATCGATTTCCTTAAAAATTATGATTTTTGTATTGCATTGTAATCTTGCTTGACTAATTTTTTTTGCCAGTTTTGATGGATCCATTGCATTCTCTTAAAATGTAGTAGAAGCTTATATTTTTCCTAACTTTTAAAATACATAAGGTTAGAAAAGTTTTCTTTAAAAATTTTTAGAAACAAAGGAATGAAACTCTAAATTCAACTCTACTAACCAATTCATACCATCTTATTACACCCAAATTCTTTCTTTTCTATTTCACCTAGTTAAGCCTGAGAATTATTGACAGAGACTTCTTAGTAGTTCAAGTAACTTAACTAACCAAATCATTTAGAACACAAATTAATTCTTTAAGTGTACTGGAAATAACTTGGCTGTTTTCTTAGCATGATACACTGTTGTAACAGGCCATATGGATCAGACTTCTTAACATTAGCTTGACATATAAACAGAGAAGATACTGTCTATATAAAGTAGACACAGTTTTTGATTTTGATATACAAAATGTCATCATATTTTAAGTGTGTCCTTGTATTTACCATGACATGTTCATTTAATACTGTAAGATGCAACAGTATTTTGTATACTGTATCAGATTTTAAAAATGCTAGGAATTAAAGTATAGCAATGCTTTCTGTTTTTACAATTTTTATTTTATCAATTTTGAAAGATAACTTTTAGACTATGCATAATTTTAATGTATATTATTATTGTTAATACATACAATGGAAGATAATAGCAATTGGTTATCCTTTGAATCCTGTTTAAATTTCGAGCTGGTAACATCTGTTATTCCCCCAAAATACTTTTCATGCCATTATGAGGGTTAGTTTTTAATACAAATTTTCTAAAGTAATCTATAAAAAAATGACAAAACCATTGTTGCTGGTTTTTAAACTGGCTTTGCAAGTCAGTGGAAGTATTCTACTTTGTACTGTTGCTTTGGGAATGTTAAATGGTCTGATGATTCCATCTCCCTATCAATATTGATAAAAATTTGGTTCCTAAAAGTTATTCTTCTCCAGAATTTCCTCCAGAGCACGGATATTTATTCTGAAAAAAAAATGACAGTAAAGCTTTTATTATTTGTATATGAACAAGCAATGACAACTCATTCAAGATTGCCACTAGGCCAACTTATATTTTAAGTTGCAATCACTTTTGAGTCAGATTCAGATTTTAGATATGTGTGATGGTTGTGTGTCAATTTGGCTAGGATGTGGTGCCCAGTTGTTTGGTCAAACGCTAGTCTAGATTTTGCTGTAACGGTATTTTGTAGATATGACTAACATTTATAATCAGTTGACTTTAAGTTAAAAAGATTACCTCCATAATGGGAGTAGGCCTCCTCTAATTATTTGAAGAGTTTCAAAGCAAAAACTGAGGTTTCCCAGAGAAGACAGAATGCTGCTGCAAAACTGCGATGTAGAAATACTGCCCACATTTCCAGTCTGCTCACCAGCCCTATAGGTTTATGACTCAGGACTACAACATCAACTTTTTACCTGAATTTTCAGCCTGCCGTATAGATTTCAAACTTGCCGGTTCCCATAATTGCATGATCTCATTCCCTAAAATAAATCTGTGTGTGTGTGTGTGTGTGTGTGTGTGTGTGTGTGTGAGTGTTTATGTATGTGTGTGTATAATTTCCATCCTGGTTGTTATTAAGTACAATATTGATTGCAAATTTATGACAGGATTTAGGTCCATGGAAAAAGCCTTATAAATTGCATTTTTATGTAATCACGATGATAGAATAACACTGCAAAAATTTATAAGATGGTAATTTCTGCAGCAAAACAACTTAAAGAACCTCATGTATCTTGCTAGTAGTTATACATTCTAACCATGTGATAATTTTATTTTATAATCGGTATTTTGTTGGCTCTGGACACAATGAATTGCTGTAAGATTTTACCTGCAAAGTTTCAGTTTCTGGGAATGTCTCACATAGGTTCAGTGTTAAATGTTAGATATTCTCTAACCTGAGCAGGCATTTGAGGTTGGAGTCTCTATTCTGTCACTACTGCTACTATCCACTGGGCCCAACAATGCCTCTGCTAAGGCTGCTGTAGATGCTTCCAAGCTTGCAGACTTACAAGGTGCTAATTTGCCATTCTGGTCTCTTGTTTCCTCAATGTGCTGAAGCCTTGAAGCCATTTTTGGTTTGTCAAGAAGTATACAAAATATTTCTTTTCCTCACTTGAGTTAACACTTTGCTACCTGGAAAAACATGTAGTACTCCTTGTACCCTCTTTTCTCACAGTTTCTAGTAGAAATGTCCCATTTAGCTTAGCCAGCAGCTCACTCTTACCATAAGGCTCAGAGAAGAAAGGATACATCTGAGACAAGTGTCATCATGCTGTTTTCTGTTCTGCATTCTCCCCACATTCCTTCTTTTTAAATGAAATTCTGGGTTTTAATATAAACACATTCAGGTTATCCTACTATCTGTATATAATATAGTTTTAGGGTATGTTAATTTCTGAAGTACATGTATTTTAAGAAAATATATTTAATAATTTCCAAATAAGTGCTTTTACTTTGAAGTATGTATGAAATACAGAAATTCATCATATATTATATAATGCTATTTGAAAGATATAAGATAACAACTTTATATAAATTAAAATCTGCTGATCATTGGAATTATCAAGAGGTAAAGAAGAAATTGGCAAGACTTTAAAAAAATTTTTGTTTGTCCAATGTAATCTAAAATGGCATAGATATTACAGAACTATCCACACTATAGTAGTCATGCAAAACTAGAATGTTATAAATGGACCACAAATATTGACATATTCCTGGAAAAAAATTCAAAAAACATCAGTTATAAGTGGAAGAGAACTAAAGCTAGAAAAATCACAGCTCAAGGCATTTACAGTAAGAGACTACTGGAACATTAGGACCATTCCAGAAATTCCTAAACATTGAAGCAGCAGATAAATGAAGCAGGAAATGCTTAGGATCACAAATAGAAGGTGGCATGGATATGGGAGTTCCTCTGCTGCCATGGCTCCTCCCACCTACCTTCTTGTTGAGCTGTGGGCAGTAATATTTTTACCAAACCAAATCATTGAGTGTGGGAACTGGGGCTTAAACACAGGCAATGTCTAGTGTAGAAACATATATTCACAAGTAATGGAAAGCCTCTATAAGCAGAAGACAAAATGCCTGCCGAGGACCCCAGGAATCTCTCATACGACCCCTTAACATGACCAGTGTAGCCTAAAGTGCCAAATCTGGGAAATAAGATATTTCAAATCTTAATGATACACAGACAATCAAGAATCACAAAACTTTTGAGAAAGACAAGCAGCATGAAGAGAAGCAACTGACTCAACTAAGAACACTAACATATAAGCAACAAAAAAAATTAAGCTGAACGCTCTCTGAAAAGTTGAGGAAAATATGGCATCTATGAAAATAAATAAAGAATTTTTAAAGTAACAATTTTATGATCATGGAAAATATCCCAATAAAATAACTGTATAACTTGATTGCCCAATCTTCAGTGACTTGGAAAATTGGAACAGAGGATTCTCCCTGAAATTACTGCAAAATTATAAGACTAGTAAATACAAAAGAGATAGTTTAAAAATTGAGTATTTACCCTAAAATTCCAGTATTTATTTGACAGAATAACAGAAGGAAAAATAAGAATGAGTAAAGGGGAAGAAAAGCAAATAGAAAAAGAACTGCTAATATTTAAGAAATATAAACTTTCAGATGAAAATGCTCACTAAATAACAGGAAGAATGAACAACTATTTATATCTAGATGGATTTTAGTGAATTTTCAACACCAATGATAAAATTAAAATTATTAAAGATGACAACAAATTCCAAAGAGACCTACAAACCAAAATCAGAAATGCTTCTACCTTTTTTTATTTGTAAGATCCAGTGCTTCTAGACAATAGAACAATGTTGAGAAAGGTTTAAAGGAAAAAAACAATTTGAATTTAGAATCTGTTGATAAAAAAACAAACTCTGTAAAATATTTAAAGAGGCTTATTTTAAGCCAAATATGAGTAACCATGACCTGGGGTATAATCTCAAGCAGTCCTGAGAACATGTGGCTGAGATGGTTGGGGTATGGTGTGGTTACGTATCTTAGAGAGAAAGAAGCTATAGGCAAAGACATAAATCAATACATGTAAAGTATAGATAGCCCAGAAAGGTGAGATACCTGGAAGCTGGAGGTGGGAGTGAGTTACAGGTCATAGGTGGATCCAAAGATTTTCTGATTGGCTATTTGGTTGAAAAGAGTTAAGCTTTGCCTAGAGTTGAAGTCAGCAGAAAGAAATGCTTGAGGAAGGAATAGTATTGAATCTGCATATTGCTTTGGACAGTGTGGCAATTTTAATGTTATTGATTCTTCTAGTCCATGAGCATGGAACGTTTTTCTATTTATTTTTGTTATTTGTGATTTCTTTAAAGGACACATGCACCTGTCTGTTCATCACAGTGCTATTCACAATAGCCAAAACATGGAAACAACCTAAGTGCCCATCAACAGTGGATTGGATAAAGAACATGTGATACATATACACAAAATCATGTCTTTTACAGCAACATGGATACAGCTGGAGGCCTTAACTAATTGAATTAATGCAGAAACAGAAAACCCAGATACTTTTGGTGTCACTTATAGGTTAGAGCTAACATGCAGTACACATAAACATAAAGATGAGACAATAGGCATGAGGAGTACTACAGCAGAGAGAGAGGGATGGGGCCAAGGGCTGAAGAACTACCTATTGGGTACTATGCTGAATACCAGGGAAACTGATTCAGTCATATCCAAAACCTCAGCACCATGCAATATACCTCTGTAATAATCCTTCACATGTAACCCCTGATTCTAAAATAAAAGTTGAAAAAACAAATAAAAAGAAACACTTGAGTTAAGATAAGGGGAGTTGTAGAAGCCAAGGTTCTTGTTAAGAGGATGAAGCCTCCAAGTAGCAGGCTGCAGAGAGAGTAGTTGGTAAATCTCTCTCTTCCGACCTTAAAAAGATCCAGAAAAGACCTACAAAGGGAAGGAGATTCTCTAGAGAATGCAAAATTCCTCCACACAAGACAATCTTGCAAAGTCATATCAAAATATGTCAAATGAATATATTTTGGAGTAAAATACTTTGATTTCTCTCAGGAACCACTGTCTGTCTTGTGGTACTATACCAGAATCAGGTTGGAATTAGTTATCTTATTGCAACAAAGAATCTGTTTTGTCCATCTTATGCACTCTATTTTAATGTTATTGCTGGTCAGTTGTGCCTAAACTCCAAAGGGAGGGGGTGTAAGGGCATGTCCAACCTCCCTTCCCATCATCACCTGAACTAGTTTTTCAGGTTTCTTTGGGATCCCCTTGGCCAAGGAAGTGGTCAGTTCAGATGGTTGGGAGGCTTAGAATTTTGTTTTTGGTTTATAAATCCTATTCAGAGCCACTCAGTGTGATAAAAAACAAAACTATTTTCAGATGTGCATAGAATCAGAAAGGTTATTACATCTGATATTCTCCTAAGAATAACTTAGGAGATGCTTTAAATGAAATAAAAAATGAATTAAAGAAAAATAAAGATTGAGAATCAAGAGAGCAGAGCAAAGAAAGAACCACATAAAATAAATTAATTCCAAATGAATGTTAATAATTCTTATTAAAAATAATAAGGGAGGTAATTGTATAATTATGTCTTCTGATTTATTAACATGGTAAAAAACATTGACAAATAGCTTTAATTATTAGTCTTTTTTCTTTTGAGTTTCTGTAATGTCAGTACTTAAGCACTGGATCTTCCACTGGTGTAGGGGAATTACAATTAAAAGCAAAATCTCTTCCCAACTCAGAAAAGCTTTCCACAATGGCATAAGAGAAATAAAATAATTTTATTATTGAATTAGCATTGAATTAGAGTGTGAGGTGCAGCACAGGTAATCTAAGAGGATTTCAGATATAATAAAATATCACCCTTTTATATAGATAAGCCGATAGAACCAATAACAGACATGTTCTCAAGAAAACAGCTAGTTTTGAAGTATGAGGACTGGACTGCACTATTGGCCATGCCCAGTTTATCCAGTTGTCACCTGGTAATTTGCATGGCTGTCGGTGTTAATTGGCTTTATCCAAAATAAAAATAAAAGGCTCAAATCTTTATGACTAAAAGTAGTTATGCACCAAGGTGTCTGCAAAAAATTTGGCTGTTGTTCTCCCCACAAAATGGAATAGTGTCCTTTTTGATGATTATATGTCAAAGAGATGGCTTTCTGGTTTTTGAGAAATCCATGCATGGGTTGTAAAGGTGGTAATTTTTATTTGTCCAATTATTTATTTAGCAGTTTAAAATATTTACATCATTTCAAGGGGACAAAGAAAGAACTGACACATTATTTAAAGTGAATGCTCTAAGACAAGGAAAGGGGGAAGGAGGAAGTCTCTTCTCTTATTTTCAATAGGGAAAATTAAGACTCTTATTTCTAATTTGTGTTTGCCCTTATAGGGCATATTTTAGCTAGACTTCATAGGTTCTAATACACATTTGTTTTAGTATCATCACTTTCTTAATTTTTATGGATACATAATACTTATACATATTCATGGGGTGCATGTGACATTTTGAGAAAAGCATGCAATGTGTAATAATCAAGTCTGAATAATTGGGATATCTATTATCTCAAACATTTATTTTTTTATTTGTAAACATTCCAAATCTACCTATCAAGCAATTTTGAGATACAATAAATTATTATTAACTATAGTCATCCTACTGTGCTACCAAACACTACATCTTATTTCTTCTATCTGACTGTATTTTTGTGCCCATTAATTAACAACTCTTACTCTCCTTCTCCCCACTTCCCTTCCCACACTCTAGTAACCATGATTTTATTTACTACCTTCATGAGATTAATTTTTTGTAGCTCCCATTTATATGTGAGAACATGTGACATTTTTCTTTCTATGCCTGGCTTATTTCACTTAACCTAATGTCCTCTGGTTCAGTCTGTGTTATTACAAATGACAGGATTTTATTCTTATGGTGGAATAATATTCCATCATGTATCTATAACACGTTTTCTTTATCTATGCATCCCTTGATGGGCATTTCCCACAGCTAGCATCATACTGAATGGAGAAAATCTGAGTCTTTCCTCTAAAATCTGGAACAAGACAAGGATGCCCACTTTTACCACTTTTATTCAATGTCGTACTGGAAATATTATCCAGAGCAATTAGACATGAGAAAGAAATAAAAGACATCTAAATAAGAAAGAAAGAAGTCAAAATGTCCTTGTTTTCAGACAATATGATCTTATATTTAGAAAAATCTAAAGATTAATGAATGATTGGCACTGATAAATGAATTAAGTAAAGCTACAGGATACAAAATCAACACACAAAACTTGGAAGAATTTCTATATGCAAACAGCGAACAATCTGAAAAAGAAATGAAGAAAGCAATGCACTTACAAAAAATAAGATAAAATGCCAAGGAATAAATATAACCAAAGAAGCAATAGATCTCTTCAATCAAAACTATAAAAAATTGATGAAAGAAATTGAAGAAGACATAAAAAATATGGAAAGAAACCCCATGTTCATAAATAGAAGAGCCAATATTGTTAAAATGTCCACACCACCCAAACTGATTTATAGATTCAATACAATTCCTATTAAAATACCAACAAAATTTCTCACAGAAATAGGAAAAATCTTAAAATTTATAAGAATCACAGAAGACTCAAAATAGCCAAAGTAACACTGAACAAAAAGTATAAAATTGGAAACATTACATTACCTGACTTCAAATTATACTACAAACCCAAAATAGAATGATTCTGGCATAAAAACAGACATGTAGACAAATGGAATAGAATATAGAACCCAGAAATAAATCTACACATTTATAATCAACACATTTTCAACAAAGGTGCCAAGAACATACACTCAGGAAAGGGTAGTCTTCAACAAATTGTTCTGGAAAAACTGGATATCCGTATGCAGAAGAATGAAACTAGACCCCTATATTTAACCATATATAAATATAAAATAAAATGGATTAAAGACTTAAATATAAGACCTGAAACAATAAAACTACTGGAAGAAAACATTGATAAATGCTTCAGGACGTTGTTCTGGGCAAAGATTTCTTGACTAAGACCTCAAAAGCACAAACGCCTGAATTAAAAATGGACAATTGGTATCACACCAAGCTAAAAAGCTTTTGCACAGCAAAGAAAACAATCAAGGTGAAGAGGCAATGTACAGGATGGAAGAAAATATCTGCAAAATATCTGGCAAGGGATTAATAACCAGAATGCATAAATAACTCAAAAAACTGAATAGTAGAAAAATAAATAATCTGATTTTTAAATGAACAAAATAAACTGAATAGTCATTTCTCAAAAGAAGACATATACATGGGTAATTGGCATATGAAAAAAATGCTCAACATCATTAATCACAAGTGAAATCCAAATCAAAATTACCTTGAGATATTATCCTACCCTGGTTAAAAATGGCTTTTATCCTAAAGATAGGCAATAACAAATGCTGGGGAGAGTGTGGAGAAAAGAAAACCCGGGTACAATGTTGGTAGGGACGTAAATTAATACAGCCACCATGGAAAACAGGAGGTTTCTCAAAACACTAAAAACAGAGCTACCATATGATCCAGGGATCCCACTTCTGGGTGAATATGTAAGCAAGAAATTTAGTATATCAGAGATATCTGCATTCTTGTGTTTATGGTTCATTGTTTTCTATATTCTTTCCATTTTTATTTTCCCTTCGAATTAAGCATTATTTCAGAAATAAGCTTGATTATTAACTAATATTATAGCATATATAAATATAACTTCTTTGTTTTTCTTTATTTGATTTGTTTAAGTTCCTTATAGATTCTGGATATTAGCCCTTTGTCAGATGCATAGTTTGCAAATGTTTTCTCCCATTCTGTAGGTTCCCTGTTTACTCTGTTGATAGTTTCTTTCACTGTGCAGCTCTTTAGTTTAATTAGGTCCCAATTGTCAATTTTTGTTTTTGTTCCATTAGCTTTTAAGGACTTAAAAATTCTTTGCCAAGATTGATGTCCCAAACAGTATTTCCTAGGTTTTCCTCCAGGACTTTTACAGTTTGGCATCTTACATTTAAAAGTCTTTAGTCCATCTTGAGTTAATTTTTATATATGGTGAGAGGTAAGGGCTCAGTTTCATTCTTTTGCATATGGCTAGCCAGTTTTCCCAGCGCTACTTATTAAGTAGGGTATTCTTTTCCCACTGTTTGTTTTTGTCAAATTTGTTGAAAATCTGTTGGTGGCAGATGTGTGGTTTTACTTCAGGGGTCTCTATTTTGTTACTTTGGTCTATGTATCTATTTTTGTATGACTAGCTTATTTTACTTAACATAATATCCTCTACGTTAATCCATGTTGTCACAAATGACAGGATTTTCTTCTTTCTTGAAGCTCAGTAGTATCCTTTTGTGTATATGTACCATATTTTCTTTATGCATTCATCCACTGATGGACAAAAGTCACAAGCAATATGACAAAATATTAATATTTGTTAATTATAGTTTTGGCATTGCACGTGTTCATAGTACATGAGTTACTATATTCTTGAAAGTTTAAAACTTCTACCACATTTAAAAAATAGTGGATGATGTAATAATGTAACTGGAGATATTTGGTTGTGATGGGCAGCAGAAAAAAATAAGTAGAGATTGAGGCGGGATGTGGAGTTAGAGGAAAAACACTATAGAATACTATTTCCTAGCGCATGTTTACATGACTATGGAAACACTCAATAAAAAGGAAGACAGTAATGACTGAGAAAGAGAGAAAGAAATGATGCAAATCTTAAAGAACCCAAAGAGTAAAGTCCTTGAGAGGGCAAGAGGGAAGAGATGATGTTAATATAGTAAGAACTCAGTAAATGTAGCTGAACGAATGAGTAAATGAACCAATAAATGACCTTCAGCATCCCTTTGGCTTCTTATATTTAATTACCTTTTCAACTCTCCAAAACAATTAAAAACTTGGATCACTTTCCTCATGTTTATAAGTTCCTTACATTATCTCTCTCTTTTTTTTTAAGCAGAAAATATCCTCTACTACTTGTAAAAGACAGTAAAGACCATAAAGTTTATTTTCTGCCATTGGTATATATATTTTACTAAGCACTCAGATTCCAGATGCTGTTTTAGGCAGTGCAGAAACTGCAGTAAGAAATGCAGACAAACAACTATACACTGTATTATTTGGTGATGAAAACTTATATCAAGAAAATCAGACAGGGTTAAGAGATAGGGAGTAATGAAACATTATTAAGAGTGTTTAAAAAAACATTCTTTAAAGGGTGACATTTGAACAATCTTGAATGAAATGACAGAGGGCATGCCATTTTTCTGGGACATTAAGTAATTTCTTCTTAAAAGCATGAAAGTCCATTTCAGTCTTTGTATGTCTGTGAAAGAATAAGGTTATTAGATCTCAGGGCTTTTACAAAATTTGTATTTTATTTTAGATCTGGTATATATGTGCAGGACATGCAGGTTTAATTACATAAGTAAACATGTGCCATGGGGTGGTTTGCTGCACCTATCAACTCATCACCTATGTATTAAGCCCAGCATGCATTAGCTCTTTTCCCTAATGCTCTCCCCACCTTGTTTGCTGCACCTATCAACCTGTCACCTAGGTATTAAACCCAGCATGCATTAGCTATTTTCCCTAATGCTGTCACCACATTGTCCTCCCCCAACAGCCCCCAGTGAGTGTTGTTACCCTCCCTGTGTCCATGTGTTCTCATTGTTCAGCTCCTGCTTATGAGTGAGAACATGTCATGTTTGATTTTCTGTTCCTGTGTTACTTTACTGAGGATAATGACTTCCAGCTTCATCCATGTCCCTGCAAAGGATATGATCTCATTCCTTTCTATAACTGCATAGTATTCCATGGTATTTATGTACCACATTTTCTTTATCTGTTTTATCATTGATGGGCATTTGGGTTGATTCCATGTTGTTGCTATTGTGAATAGTGCTGCAATAAAATAAAAACACATGCATGTATCTTTATATAATAGAATGATTTATATTCCTTTGGGTATATACCCAATAATGGGATTTCTGGGTCAAATGGTATTTCTTGTTCCAGGTCCTTGAGGAATCAACACACTGTCTTCCACAATGATTGAACTAATTTGCATTCCCCCCAACAGTGTAAAAGTGTTCCTGTTTCTTCACAGTCTCACCAGCATCTGTTGTTTCTTGACTTTTTAATAATTGCCATTCTGACTGGCATGAGATGGTATCTCATTGTGGTTTTAATTTGCATTTCTGTAATGATCAGTGATGTTGAGCTTTTTTTCATATATTAGTTGGCCTCATAAATGTCTTCTTTTGAGAAGTGTCTGTTCATGTCCTTTGCTCACTTTTTGATAGGGTTTTTTTTTTTTTTTTTGTAAATGTGTTTATGTTTCTTGTAGATTCTGGATGTTAGATCTTTGTCAGATGGTTAGATTGCAACTGTTTTCTCCCATTCCGTTGATTGCCTGTTCACTCTGATGATAGATTCTTTTGCTGTGCCAAAGCTCTTTAGTTCAATTAGGTTCCATTTGTCAACTTTTGCTTTTGTTTCAATTGCTTTTGATGTTTTGGTCATGAAATCTTTTCCCTTGCCTATATTCTGAATGGTATTGCCTAGGTTTTCTTCTAGAGTTGTTATATTTTGAGGCTTTACATTTAAGTCTTTAATCCCTCTTGAGTTAATTTTTGTGTAAGATGTAAGGAAGGGGTCCAGTTTCAATTTTCTGCATATGGCTAACCAGTTTTCACAGAGCCATTTATTGAGTAGAGAATCCTTTTCCTATTACTTGTTTTTGTCAGGTTTGTCAAAGATCGGATGGTTGTAGATGTGTGGTATTATTTCTGAGGTCTCTTTTCTGTTTCATTGGTCTGTGTCTGTTTTGGTACCAGTACCATGTTGTTTTGGTTACTGTAGCCTTGTAGTATAGTTTGAAGTTGGGTAGCATGATGCCTCAAGCTTTGTTATTTTTTGCTTAGGATTATCTTGGCAATGCAGGCTCTTTTTTGGTTCCATATAAAATTTAAAGTAGGTTTTTTCTAATTCTGCAAAAAAAGTCACTGGTAGCTTGATAGGAATAGCATTGAATGTATTAATTACTTTAGGCAGAATGGCCATTTTCACAATATTGATTCTTCATATCCATGAGCATGGAATGTTTTTCCATTTGTTTGTGTCCTCTCTTATTACTGTGAGCAGCAGTTTGTAGTTCTCCTTGAAGAGGTTCTTCACATCCCTTGTTAGCTGTATTCCTAGGTATTTTATTTTTTGTAGCAATTGTGAATGGGAGTTCTTAGAAACCTACAAAGTGGCTTAGATCACCACACACTAATAGTGAGAGAATTTAACACCCCATTGTCAATATTAGACAGATCATCAAGACAGAAAATTAATACAGTTAGTCAGGACTTGAGCTCAGCTCTGGATCAGGTGGACCTGATAGATATCTACAGAATTATCCACCCCTAAACAACAGAATATACAGTCTTTACAGTGCCATATGACACTTACTCTAAAATTGATCACATAATTGGAAGTAAAACACTCCTCAGAAAATGCAAAAGAACTGAAATAATAACAAACAGTCTCTCAGACCACAGTGCAATCAAACTGGAACTCAAGATTAAGAAACTCACTCAAAGCCACATAAATACATGGAAATTGAAAAACCTGCACCTGATTGACACCTGGGTAAATAATGGAATTAAGACAGAAATCAAGAAGTTATTTGAAACCAATGAGAACCAAGAGACAATGTACCAGAATCTCTGGAACAAAGCTAAAACAGTGTTAAGAGGGAAATTTATAGCACTAAATGCCCACATATGAAAGCTAGAAAGAGCTCAAACTGACACCCTAACATCACAGCTGAAAGAACTAGAGAAGCAAGAACCAACAAATCCAGAGCTAGCAGAAGACAGAAATAACGAAGATCAGAGTGGAACTGAAAGAGATAGAGACACAAAAAAACCTTCAAAAAATAAATGAATCCAGGACCTGTTTTTTTCCTGAAAAAATTAATTAAATAGATAGACTGCTATCTAGACTAATAAAGAAGAAAAAAGAATCAAATAGGCACAATAAAAATGATAAAGGGGATATCACCACAGACACTGCAGAAACACAAACAACAATCAGAGAATACTATAAATATCTCTATGCAGCTCTTAGTAATAGCATGATAGTCTTAGCTTCTTTGATTGCAAAATTCTTTAAATTGAGAAATATGTGTTTTTAAATACATAATATGTTTACTAAGAGCTACAAGTACAATTATCTGCAGTTTGGCTCCGTAGACAAAGTGAAAAATTTTGAATGAAATACTACATATTTCTTTAGCGTTTTAACATACAAATAAATTCAAATGACTCTTGGAAAAAAAATCTTTATGCAAATAATCTAGAAAACCTAGAAGAAATGGATAAATTCCTGGACACATACACCCTCCCAAGACTAAACCAGGAAGAAATTGAATCCCTGAATAGACCAATATCAAGTTCTGTAATTGAGGCAGTAATAAATAGCCTACCAATGAAAAAAAGCCCAGGACCAGATGAATTTACAGCCGAATTCTATCAGAGATACAAAGAGGAGCCAGTACCATTTCTTCTGAAACTATTCCAAACAATTGAAAAGTAGGGACTTTTCCCTACCTCATTTTATGAGGTCAACATTATCCTGATACTAAAACCTGGCAGAGATACAACAAAAAAAGAAAACTTATGGGTCAATAGGTGCAGCAAACCACCATGGCACACATAGACCTATGTAACAAATTTGCACGTTTTGCGCATGTGTCCTTTTCTTTTTAATTAAGAAGAAATAAAGAAAAGAAAAGAATACTTCATGCCAATATCCCTGATGAACATTGATGTGAAAATCCTGAATAAATACTGCAAACCAAATCCAGCAGCACATCAAAAAGCATATCCACCACAATCAAGTTAGCTTCATCCCTGGGATACAAGGCTGGTTCAACATATGCAAATCAATAAACATAATTCATCACATTACCTGTACTAATGACAAAAACCACATGATTATCTCAGTAGACACAGAGAAGGCCTTTGATAAAATTCAACATCCCTTCATGTTAAAAACTCTTGGTAAACCGGGTATTGATGGAACATATATCAAAACAATAAGAGCCATTTATGACAAACCCACAGCCAATATCATACTGAATGGGCAAAAGCTAGAAGCATTCCCTTTGAAAACCAGCACAGGACAAGGCTGCCGTCTCTCACCACTCCTGTTCAACATAGTAGTGGAAGTTCTGGCCAGGGCAATCAGGCAAGAGAAAGAAATAAAGGGCATTCAAATAGGAAGAGAGGAAGTAAAATTGTCTCTCTTCGCAGATGACATGATTGTATATCAAGGAAATCCCATCATCTGAGCCCAAAATCTGCTTAGGCTGATAAGCAACTTCAGCAAAGTCTTAGGATACTAGATCAATATACAAAAATCACAAGCATTCTTATACACCAACAATAGACAAGCAGAGAGCCAAATCATGAATGAGATCACAGTTATTTTTATCTCACAAACTGTACATGTTTTTTAGCCTTTCTTGTTCTCTGTATTGCAGATACAGTAGAAGGAAATAGTATACCTCTTTTATCTTTTTCAAGGCCTGAAATTGTATTTATTTTTCAATTTAAACACATTGCTGAAGTTGTTTCAAATAGATATTTATCTCTCATATTAAAGGTGCCCAACAAGCTAAGTCATTTTAGTCTGAAGTATTTATTTGGCTCAGGGAAGTGTTCTATTAAAATTTATTTGATTATCTCTTCTCTATTGGTCTTTATATATTAAAGACATCTTGTCTCCTGATCAACAATAAAATTGGCACTTGGGGCGAGGACTCAATTTCATTTAAGATCCTCAGGGGACTTTTCTACCATGAATTCTCTCTTTTTCTCCTTTCTCCAGCCTCTCTACTTGCACTTTGTAATCATTATATACATGTGCTTACAATTTATACAATCATAAATAACCTTTTAATGGTATTTTTATCATTTGCATATAAAAGTCAATAGGGTCAACTCTTCTGTATTTCTTTATCCAATCAATACACCTCATTCTGACTTCTAAAATAGCTTTCTTAAGTTTATCAATAAGTTGCTAGTTACAAACCCCAAATATTTTTAATCATTTTATCATTTGATACCCAGAATATTTGCGAGTTTTGGCCTCTCCTTTTCTCTTGAAACTTTTTTCTTTTACCTCCTGGGAAACCACTAACTTTTGCTTTGTTTCTCCTCCTTTTTTTGTGTTAGATTTGTTTAATTTCCTTTGCAGGGTTATCTTCCTTCACTTTACTCAAAGGTTGGTTTGCCCAGAGTTTCATTTTTGTTTGTTCTCTTTACTTTAAACTTTCCCTATGTAAATATATTTAATTCCATATTTTCAAGTGGAAAATGATTTCTAAATTTATAGCTAATGTAGGGTGACTCTGCTGAGTTTTACCAGCCTCTTAAAATAATTTTGTGTCTAGTTGAAAATAACAGGTAAAAATGGAAATGATTCTCTGCAGTCATTCCCTGCAACTAAACCTGCTTATCCCTTTTTTTCTAAATGTTGGTGACTGGTACTTTTTGGCACCTAGTTTTCTAGTAATCATCTAGGTTCATTCTAGATATTCCTATTTCAACAACCCCAAATCCAAATGATACTAAATTATCCTGAGTTTTACTCAGTTAATAGTATTTAAACCCTTCCATTCTTAATCACATTTCTAATGCCCTGTAGCATTCATGAGGTCAAATCACTGATGATCTGAACACTCCTCAAAGGCCCCTTCTCGCAATACTGGTACAAGGGGATTTTTAGGGAACAAATTCAGACTATAGATCCTTGATATATCTTACTCATTTTTTCCAATAAAGTGTGGAAACATCTTTTCCAAGAAGGCGTGCCTGATATCTAGCTGCTTCCATTTCACATAGTATGATTTGGGTTATCAATAATTACCTTGGGTTTCCGTGGTACCTTGGGGAAACCATTATCAGAGCTTTTGTGGCATGATATTCATTACTATTGATATTTTTTTCTTTGCATTTCTATCTGTGTGTTTCCCTACTAGGTGCTGAACTGTTTAATGAGATGAAAGTGTCTTTTTAAAACAACTTATCTTGAAATAATTTTAGGTTTATAAAAGAATTACAAAAATAGTTCACCCAACTTATTCTCTTCATGTTAACCTGTCTCATAACACAACGTATTTATCAAAACAAATAAGATTTTATTAAGATTTCCCCAGTTGTTTCCCTAATGGCTTTCCACTTTGGATCTCTTAATGGCAAATTAGCCCCCTATTTACTTATCAGATTGTAGCTTTTTCTGTCTGCTAAGACACATTTAAACTAACACACAGTCTTTCAAATATGCTTTCATATTTCCCCTTCAATGTTAATCTTCCTGTTCTGCGTTTCTTTCCTGATTTAGACAATTGTATTTCTGTAAAATATCTAATTTGGATTCCTTGATGGAGGACAAAATTGCCACATGTGACCAATGTATCATGGACAGCTAATACCCCAATTATGTAAGATATTATAAATTAAATATGAGGTTGGTTTGGTGATAAAACAGATAAAAATGGGCTAAGAGCTAACTTGTTACATTTGAGTGAGTTATTAAGAAACAAGAATCTGACAGGATCTGGGAAATGAGATTTTGTTTGTAAAGTTGATTGAAAAAAATTATAAATCACATTGGGAATCCATATGGATAAATCATCTATATATATAGCTCATATATATATCTATATCTATAATCTGCCCATCTATCATGAATCTATTACTAATGCCCCCTTGAAGTTGAGGACATAGAGGAAAGATAACTGAATCTGTTATTCATTTTCATATATAACAGTGAGTAGCAATATAGAAAGCCTTTCTTATTCTATCCCTCATTTGGTAATTATTTTTCTACAAGCAGTATTTAAATCATAAAAGAACAGAGAATAGAAACAGGGCAAGAGAAGCTGCTTTACAAGGGAACCAAAGTACAACAATTTACTGCAAGGGTTGGCAAACTTTTCCTATAGAAGCATAGAAAGTAAATACTTTAGGCTTTGCAGGTTATGTGTGTTATCTGTTGCAATTTTTCAGCCTTGCCATTATAACAGGAAAGCAGCCAGAAGTACCTAAACAGATGGGCATTACTGTGTTCAAATAAAACTTTATTTATAACAACAGGCAGAAGGCTAGATTTGGCCCAAGGTTGGTAGTTTTCTGACTCTTAATTTAGAAAGAACAGATTATATACAAGAAGAAATCATTTCCAAAGTGCACAATAATTTCAGGACAGCAGTCTGGATGCTAGAAGCACTTAAAGTCCAAGTGCTCTGTCACTTAATGCACTATTTGCCATACTCTCTTATAGAAATAAAAACAAACCAGTTATCAATAAGCCACAGACTTCCTGCAACAATTTAAGTGACATTGAGGGATCTTAAAAGCTATAAGGAATATATTTGATATAATGATCTTACTCTTTCAAGGAATGACTTCATCTTGTCCGTTTGTCAATGAGAATATAAAAATGACTAAAATTTGTCCCTATTTTTTCACGATTTATGTTTGTTATCCAGCACTTGACTAGGAAGAAAGGACCAAAGAGAGACAATGTTTTCTCTTATACACATTGTTTGCACATTGCTCGTTAACACCTCCAGGACAGAGCATCACCATGAAATTCTCTATTGAGCAGTAAAGAGAGACAGAGAGAGAGAGAGAGAGAAGAAAAAAGAAACAACAGCCTGGAAGTAGCTTTTGTCTTTCATCACTATTCACTACTGAGATGGTAACTATAGTAAGTGGTAGGTGGTGGCACTAGAGCACTCTAATTTGTGTATGGGATTTGGGACGGAGGAGGAGAAAATATTATATGATAGGGATAAAATTGGCCCTAAAGTCTTTCTTCATCCTGTAATGCATTGAAGATAATAGTACTGTCATAACAAGTTGGTCTTAGATGCTTTGAACAAAATACATAACATGGAAGAAGTAAGTGAACTAGCACTACCTTTAGGGGAAATTCTGCAATTGCCTAAGTATAAAACCATTTCTAAACACTTCTCTGACATTTCTTCTAGTACCAAGACTTTAGCTTATAAAAATAACTAAAAACGTTTGAAATCACACAATCATGTAATTGATGGAATTAATTGTTGATAAACATGAATTATTTCTCAAAATGATGAATCTGGTCATTAACCAATCTTGTATGTTATATTCTGAAGTTCACTCTTCAGTTTTCTATATATAGGATAGTTGTGAAAATTGAGTGGGAGCCTTGGCCACAGAAATGCAAACTGTGAATTGGGTCAAACACTTCAGTGAATGTAACAATATAGACACAATTAGTAACAAAATTTATTTGAAGTGAATATGGGGAAGCCTCTGAAAGAAAAAAATGGTGATAGTTTTTAATAAATTAGTCAAATACTTTAAAATAGGCATAGTTGAATTGAACAACATGTTTTTTTTTGTTTTGTTTTGTTTTGAGTTTTAATAGCTATAAAAGGAGAGAGAGATTGTCATGCTGCCATGAAATGGATATAAACAATTTTCAGCTGAGACTCTGACCAAAAAGTAAGTTTTCCATCAACAAGAATTTAAAACAGTCTTTGATTTATGGCATCCAGCAGAGAATGCAATCACAGATAGCACAGCCAGGAAAAGAACATTCATTATTTTAGAGAGACAAAGAATTGTGGAATTATGCAGCCATTTTCTCTAATAAACATTTTTATCACTTATGGGAGGAAGCTGCTCTCCTTAGTAATAGCAATGATGAGTACTTAAATTAAGGAGAGCTTTAAATTGGTTAAAACAAACACCTACCCTAAGAATAAAGAGTAAATAATAAAAGACTGAAGATAAAGACCACAGTCCATGGTAATCAGAAATGATCAATGAGCCACTTGGGACCTCCCAAAAGAGATCAGCAAATCTGAAATCCAAGTGGTGTTAGAATAAAGACCTTTTGATTGATCATATTTGATTAAAGCTTCCACCAGTTTCTTAGAGAAACATAAAAAATATAAATCAGGAAAACAGAAAAGCTATCAAATAATTATCTTACAAAAAATGAGAAAACAAGAAATATCAACAATAACAAAAAACCTCAGCACACCGAAATAGTTTCACAGAAAAATCCTACCAAAGCTTCAAAGATTAAGTAGATCCAATGTTACATTCTAAATTACAGAAAATGAAGAAAAGCTTTTAAGTAAATTCTATGAAAACAG
Organism: Homo sapiens; assembly: GCF_000001405.40. Lineage (NCBI taxonomy): Eukaryota > Metazoa > Chordata > Mammalia > Primates > Hominidae > Homo > Homo sapiens. The sequence continues at coordinate 118,533,841 of NC_000007.14, forward strand.
TATAAAGTTGATCATTAAATAAGATAAGGAAGGCACCAAAAAATCCACCCAATGCATAGATTAATCTGACTGTAAATTAAAAAAAAATTCAGAAAAATTCAAAAGAAAATAACAGCAATCAGAATTCACTGTCCACATTAAGGAAAAAATGCATCTTGCTTAAATGGAATGGATGAGAACAAAATCCCCTGCCAATTGTTCATAAAAATGATTGCTGAAATAGGAATTATTAGATACTTTCATATGTGCACATACACATATATAGTTATTGAATGGCTAGAAAATGGTTTCAGTTTATAATAAAGAGACATGACAACTAAATAACAAGATAGGATACTGAAGTTTTCAGTAAAACTTCAACGACTGTAACTGAGACAATTGGAAAAACTTTGAATAAGGCCTTCATAATAGATGGTAATTTTCTATCAATATTATGTTTGTTGGGTGTGAAAGTTATGTTGGTCTCAGGCTTATGTAGAAAAATAGCATTGTTCTAAGGAGTATATACTGAAATATTTAGGAATAAGTTGTCATAATGATCCAGAAAAAGAAAAAGTCTCTCTCTCTTTATCTACCAATCATTGATTGACCTAGGTGATGATATATGAGCATTAATTGTACTATTCTTCTAGTTTTTTCTGTATGAGTTACATGTTTCCAAAAAAGAGTCTTGGAAAATTGATATATTAATATTTATTTGAATTTTTGTGCATTTCTCTTTGAGATGGGGGGTCTCTCTATGTTGTGTAGGCTGGTCTCGAACTCATGGCCTCAAGTGATTCTCCTGCCTTAGCATCCTGAATAAGCTGGGACTGCAGGCATGCATCACTACAATTGGATTTGTACATTTTAAAGCCATAAAAGGCAATATTCTAAGAAAATTTTAGAAATAACTCTGATAGATAAGCAGCCATAATAACTTTTCCGGGTTGCAGCATGTCTACTCATGCAAACGCTCATCTGTTTCTTAACTCACAGTCTCCAAGACAGCTCTAAGAAATGCTGCATCTTTGGACACTACTTAAAAATAACATTTCCATTCTGTTACACAGTTAAATATGGTAGTGAAACATGAGGTCTTTGTAGATATATTCTCTAGAAAATATTTTTCAAGTGTTAGCATTTGACACTTAAGGGAATGTACTACAAGTTTGGGAAAATAGTCACTTATAAATACCACTATTTATTTGGCATCTAATGTGTGACTAGTACCATCCTCATTAATGTGTGACTAGCACCATCCTCATTATTTTGCATGAATAGCCCATAAATCCAACAATAACCATATATATTTTAATTAAATTTTAAAATAAATTTGGTAGTAAATAACAGAGCCGGGATTCAACCAATATCTGTTTCTTTCAAAATGTTGTTCTTATCAATGCATACATACATATGAAGAAATTTGAAATTTTCCAACATATCGCGATGTAGGGTTATAGAATATAACTTATAATCTAACAAATATACTATACTAATAGGGGATATAATTAAGTTAGGTTATTTCCACTCTATCTAACAAATTTTAATATTCCTTAGGAAAGAACCTGTCTTCTGAGGTTATGCCTGTTGGCAAAAAATCATGACAGAAATGTTTGAATGAGAGGTTCAAGTAGTTTTATAAATGGTCTTCAGCACAGTTAATTTCCCCAAACTAAGATATCAAAACTGAATAGATTCCATTTTTTTTATTTTTCAATTTTCTCTCTCTCTCTCTCTGGGTTTTTTTTTTCTTTTTTCCTTGAGACAGAGTCGCACTGTATCACCCAGGCTGGAGTGCAGTGATGTGATCTCACTGACTGCAACCTCTGCCTCCAGGGTTCAAAAGATTCTCTTGCCTCAGCCTCCGTAGTAGCTGGGATTATAGGCACCTGCCACCTGGCCTGGCTAATTTATATTTTTAGTAGAGATGGGGTTTCACCATGTTGGCCAGGCTGGTCTCAAACTTTTGACCTCAAGTGATCCTCCTGCCTCAGCCTCCCAAAGTGCTTGGATTACAGGCATGAGCCACTGCGCCTGGCTTTTTCTTTTCAATTCTCATACTTTACTGTTATCTTCCAGATTATCACCACCCTCTAAATATTCCAAATTAAGATAGACAGGACAGAAAGTTTTACTGATTTTTGTTCATAAATAAAATTCACTAGACACCACAGTGAATTACATTGACAACACAAAAATATTCACAACTTCTACCCTTATTCTATTTAATATTTATTTAATCTACCACTTCAATAAGTAGGAATTGCAAAGAGTGAAATAACTCTTGTATCCTTTGCTCCCCCTCCCTCTCACACACACAACCTGGATTTCTAGCAAATATAAGCTTCAGTAAATAAATTTGGTAGTACACGACAGAGCCAGTATTAATATTTAGATTGCATTTAGTATTTCAGATTGTTGTTAATTGTATCTTTACTGCTGTTTAAATATTTAGTATTAGTATTTTAGTATTGCCCCTTAGTATTTTAGATTGTTGTTAATTGTATCTTTACTGCTGTTTAATTTGCTGAGAAGAATGAGCTTTTAAAATATATAAATTAGGCTGGTCAGGTTTGTTTTACACGTATTTTATCCAGAGCTAAAGATCATTTTGTTTTCCGCCCTTGCCAACTAAAAGTAGAAAAGTGGTTTCTAAACAACAAAAAAATGGGGGTAATATAACATTCCAAAGAAAGTATCCTTAAAGAGCCTGTGGAGCATCTGAAAAATATCGATCCTAGAAAGCAAATGAAACAGCACATTGATCTTGGAAGAAAAAAAAGGTGGTGAGAACCATGAAAACAGCCAGAGAAAAGTCTTAGCAATAAAGAAGAGCACACCTTACTGACAGACTTGAAGGAAGACTGAAAATGTGAAGGTACAGGAAAATTTTAAGGTGAAATAGAAAGATCATCTTAAAAGTATAAGTCAAGGTCATTAGTGAATAATAATGCATGTGGGTTTTAAGAAAAACACTTCAGTGGGGGAAAGTGATAAACAACAAATTTTAGTTCCAGCTAAGCCTCCAAATAGAGTGAATTTCAGAAATCACTAAATCCCAGGCACTCATCTTTTATACGTGTAAAAAAGAGCAGTGATAGCAACGTTCCAGTCACAGGATTGCTAAAATGACCCATTGGGGAATTTGTGAAGCATGTCTTTGAATTCTTTTCCCAAAGGGATTCTGTCTTAGGCAATATTAGGTTTGGCATCCATTAAACCAAACAATTGCTAAGGTACAAATAGCCAGCATACTTCCTAAAATATGCTGTGTAAGAAAATTAGAGAATCATGGAAAATCCCAAAACTGCACTGAGAACAACAGAATATGGTAAATTCTCTTAATAGAAAATAAAGAAAACTGAATTGAAATTCTCCTCTATATTTTGCATTTTATTCTGTATTTTATGGACTACTCCCTGACCACACACACACACCTCTTATTTAATTCATTAGTCCATAACATAGTCCCAAATCTTTCATGTCATCCCACCTTCACCCTTACCACCAAACAATAACCTAGATTCAGTGAGAAAGTTCTCCTAATTTTACCCATTTATCTCTGAGATTTTCCAGGTCCCAATCCACAAAGCTAATGTCTAGATCAAGCACTCACAATTTCTTGTCTGGACTAGTGTAATTATTCCCTACTTTTTTCCTCCAGCTAAATTCTATATCTCTAATCCATTTTCTGTATTACCAGAACAGTGTTCTTTGCAAACATCACAAACACTTGTTTAAAAACTTTCAGTAGCTCTCAACTTTCTACAGGGTTGTCTCCAGAGAAAAGTATTTATACTGTAGGAGTGACTGAATGATGTGTCAAAAAATCAATTTACTTAAAAACAACATTTTTTATGAAATAAAAGAAAATGGAATAGACCAAATGGAATAGAATAGAAAAGACCTGGGTACCCATTACCCAGTAAGATGTAATATTTTTGTGAGATTTTAATTTTTATGTGTTTAAATTTGAGTAATATAAAATATTTTACTATGACTTGTGTTTAAGAAAAAGCTTCAAGAACACTTCTGTAGATTATATAGATCCCCTCATAATCTTGCTTTTCCTGTATCTATAGCTTAACACCTCAAAGTTTCAGCCATACTTTAGTTGAATAAATAATCTGCACTCTTTCACATCTTGGGACAATCTATATAATTGTCCCCTGCTGAAATGTTTCCCCTTTCACCTCCCTGTCAACTTGGGAAATGCCTACTCAGTTTTCAATATGCAACTCAAATATCATCTGCTTTGTGAACCTTTCAGGAACCCTCCTCCTCATGGTCCCCAGTGCCCTATCTCCAGCTGGCTGTTTTGAATTGGTCTAAAATATTAAGAGTTTGGTGATGCAAAACTATTAGGTTCTTTTCGTTTGATCTCTAACAGCATGAGGTAGAAAACAGATAGATGCATATTTTTTAATAACCTGAAACTAGACTACAAGCAATCTCTCCAAAAACCCTCTCCTTCTGTTTTTTGGGGAGTACGCTGAAAAAAAATTTTAGAAGGTTACTTAAGACAAATATTGCAATATTCATGTTGCATATATGGGGCATCAGGACTCCTCTGAACTGGTTTGTTTGGAATCAAGCCTGGAGAGCAATGCTTCGGTGTATAGAACATGTACAAGACTGGCTAGAGTCTTAAGTCTATTAATACATGTTAGAATGGTGTCTCTAAATATCTTTTTTTCCAGACAATATATTTCCAGTATTATTAATTTCACTAGTGAACACCCCTTTCTAACAATCATTCACAAATAAGCCATTGTTTTACAAATGAAAACCAATTATAGTCATGCAAAATAGCAAAACCTCTGTTGTTAATCATGTTAAGGATAGCTGAGGCTTGTATTTCAGATGAAAATGTAGCTGCCTGCCCTGGACTATGAATTCTGGATTAGGACAATTCCTTAAATGGTAATTTAAACAATTTTTATCTGATATCACACTGTCAATAGCAGACATATTTTGAAGTAAATCACACACATTGTTAAACTAAAAATTATAATTAACACATCTTGGCTGTTGGAAGTTAAATTTAGTATGTTTTTATAATGAATTTACTTCACAGATACACAGGTAATGATGAGTATAAAAAATCCACAGTCCAACATTTTTGTATATTTAGGGGGAAGTCTGTTAATGAGAATATGGTTACAAGTGAAAAGAACATGGCTTAAAATTCATACACACAAAAAAGTTTATCCTTAATTTCCAAAGAATAATGTATATTTTACTATTCCACTTACTGTAATTGGAGCAGAATGTGTAAATAGAATGCTTCTTTCTCCACTTCTGAAAATATTTTCCACCCTATAAGTTTAAGAACACCAAAATGTCTATGAACTTCTCACTTCCATGTGCAGAATTAGAAAGGTTACAAGAAATTTATTCCTATTTCTTGGTAGATCCATAAGTCAGATGACAGTTGTAAAAAGAGGTCAAAGACAGTAAAATTAAGTGACTGATGAACACATTTCTTTAGAGAAAGTTGTTACCCTAAACACAGTTCTCACTCCTTCTTTTAGGAAAGGAAAGGAGGTGGTAGTCCACGGAAAATTCTGTTTAGGTGCCTAACTCATAATTGAGGTCAATAGACAGTGAACTACTGAATACTTCTAGAGGTAAAGGAAAAGTGAGTTGTTTCAGTGGTAGAGCCAGAGAGTGAAGGCTGCTGCACTGTGTTGAAGTGTGATTAAAAACAAAATCTCAGCCAGGCGTGGTAGCTCACACCTGTAATTCCAGCACCTTGGGAGGCTGAGGCAGGAGGATCATTAGAGGTCAGAAGTTAAAGACCAGCCTGGCCAACATGGTGAAACCTTGTCTCTACTAAAAACACAAAAGTTAGCTGGGAATGGTGACACGCACCTGTAATCCCAGCTACTCAGGAGGCTGAGGCAGGAGAAATGCTCAAACCCTGGAAGCAGAGGTTGCAGTGAGCCAAGATCTCGCCACTGCACTCCAGCCTGGGTGACAGAGCAAGACTCCATCTCAATAAATAAATAAATAAATTAAATAAATAATAAAAATCTCAACCCAGAAACCCTCTCTAAAACAATAAAAGATAAATAAAATAGTTTTATTGTAAAATATACATTAAACCAGAATACAAAGCATATCACAGGTAATCCACTAAAAACAGTAAATCTCGAAGGAGGTTGCAGAGACAGAAAAAATCTTACCTTTTTACATAGGCAAGCAGAAAGAATTCATTACATATGTGTTTGAAAGACAAACAATAACCAGTCTTCAAGTAATAGGACTTGACTGCATAGCAAACTCACTTGGTAATTAGGCTGACCGTCTGTGGTAGCTAATAGGCTTTATAAAAACAAAAACAAAAACAAAAAAAAACTTCTCGTATGTGTGACAGAAGACAGTTTTGCAATGTTGTGCTACATGGTCTACCAAGTTAGTAGGCTCCTATCCCGCCACTGGGATAGGGCTCTATTTTCCTTGATTCCATTTTAAACAGGTGCCTCCCAGGTCCTAAAGAATGATATTCCTAGGTTATAAAGCTGGAATTAGGTTAATTTAACTTTTAAAAAGATTTATATATCTATCTCAAGGGGGCAGGGAAAGAATATGCAAGTACATATTTTTAAAAGAAAGTGCTCTGAAACAAAAAAAGTAGAGGAATATGTCTTTCTACGTGAGGGGGAGTTATTATTTTTTTCTTCTTAGTTTACACCTTCTCCTTGCCATTCAAATTATCCTGCTTGCCTAAAGTCTGTCAGAACAAGGAATGGGTGAATATTTCCTGTTGACCAGATGTGACTGAGAGAGAGAAATCCATGTAGGGTATGTTTTATCCTTTAGGGTCATGTTGGAGAGGATGAGGGAAGACCTCAGAAGAAAGGCTTGAAAGTATCTTGATGCCCAATGGCTACAGAAGGAGCTCTGAGAGGCACCCAAATCAGAGGTGCTTTCTTCCCACCTGAAGAAAGTTCTTCAGAGAAGGCCCACAGTAACATTTTACTGATAGAGAAAGTTAGCTTCTCCCACCTAGTGTGGCCATCCGGGAAAGCTACTTTAAATATATTCAAGCACCAAGAGTGTGAAACCAGCCAGCCGCATAGGACCTGACTTATCCTCTTATTTTGCCTTCCTCTTGAGGTTTTAACATGGCTAGGAACACATCAACTGCTGATCAACGGAGATGAGGCCTAAGGAAAAGAGTAGAGAACGTGCCCTTCCTGACAGCCAACCCCAGGCTGAGCAAGGCCCAAAAAGATGGGGGTAGTCATTGCTGCTCATATTGATGGGAAATTCCTGCTAGCACAGATACTCTTCACATTTATGTTTATTTTGATTTTCTTATTATAAATTTAACCCATATTCATTAAATAAAATATAAAAAGAAGAGAGAGAAAAAAATGACAATAGAAATTACTGTGTATTCTCATAATAAATTATTTATCCTTTAAAATTAAATGTTGATTCCACTATCCCTATAATTATATATTATCCTATTCTTTATTAAAAATACAGAATAATAGTTACAAGTATATACTTAGGGTCTTCCAAACTGAGCTTAGCTATTTAATAGGTGTATGACATTGAGTAACATACTGATTTTCTCTTTTCCTCAATTTTCTAACATATAAAAGGAAGCTAGTAAAACCTACATAATAAGGTTGTTGTGAAGATTAGTATGAGATTAAAAGTGAATAATTTATCACAGAGCCTGATATATAATATTTGGTCTGAATTGAAAGCTGTTGTTATTCCCAGATTGCAAGAATTTTTCCACATACTTGAATACTTGAATATACACTATTCCACATAGTTGAATATGGACTATTAAAAAATGTGCTAACCACTCCACCACATCCTCAATTATAGATTTAGTATAAATTAGAAATTTTCTTTTTGTAAAAATTCTACTGTAATTTGTGTGCTTCTTAACATTATATATACATTTTCTGCTCATCTCTTATTCTCTTGGATTATTTACTGTAACTATGCCAAAGGATAATAAAAATTCTAAATTTTTTTTAAAAATAATATTTTTATCTCTTTTTTCCCACATAGAATTTAATATAGGGCCTGCCCCATATTAGCTACTGATCAAAGATTTAAGAATATAATAAACTAACACATGCTCCACAGCACATGGATCACTCTTAAAGATAGACCATATGTTAGATGACAAAACAAGTCCTAAAATTAAAAAAAATTGAAATCATATCAAGTACCTTGTCAGATAACAATGGAATAAAACTAGAAATCAATAATAAGAAGAACTTTGGAAACTATACAAACACGTGGAAATTAAAGAAAATGCACTGAATGACCAGTGGGTCAATGAAGAAATTAAGAAGGAAGTTTAAAAATTTATTGAAACAAATGAAAATGGAAATAAAAGATACAAAAACCCTATAAGGTACAACAAAAACAGTAGTAAGAGGAGAGTTCATTGCAATAAGTGACTACATCCAAAAAGTAGAAAACTTCAAATTAACAACCTAACAATGTATCTTAAAGAACTAGAAAAGCAAGAGCAAACCAAATCCAAATTAGTAGAAGAAAAAATAATAAACATCATAGCAGAAATAACTACTAAAAATACAAAAAGTCAAATGATAGTGTTTTGAAAAGATAAACAAAGTCAACAAACCTTTAGCAAAACTAAGAAAAAAGGAAGTAGATTCAAATAAATAAAAGCAGAGATGAAAAAATAGACATTATAACTGGCACTGCAGAAACTCAAAGGATCATTGGAGACTACTATGAGCAATTCTATGCCAATAAATTGGAAAACCTAGAAGAAATGGATAAATTCCTAGACACCTGCAACCTATCAAGATTGAACCATGAAGAAATAATAATAATAACAAGTAACAAGATGAAACCATAATAAAAAGTCTCCCAGCGAAGAAAAGCCCAGGACTTGATGGTTTCACTGATGAATTCTGACACACATTTAAAGAGAGCTAATACCAATCCTATCCAAAATGTTCCCCCAAAAAAGGAGAGAATGCTTCCAAAATCACCATATCAGGTCAGGATCGCCCTGATGCCAAAACCAGATAAATACACAACAGAAAAACAAAACTACAGGCCTGTATCTCTGATGAACAGTGACCCAAAAATCCTCAACAAAATAGTAACAAACTGAATTCAGTAATGTGTTATAAAGATTGTTTATCATGACCAAGAGGGATTCATCTCAAGGATGCAAAGATGGTTCAGCATTTGCAAATCAATCAACATGATACATCACATCAACAGAATAAAGGGTAACAATGATGTGATCATTTCAATTGATATTGAAAAAGCATTTGATAAAATTCAACATTCCTTCAGGATGAAAACCCTCAAAAACCTGGGTATAAAAGGAACATACATCAACACAGTTAAGAGCCATATGTGACAGACCCACAGCCAGTATGACACTGAATGGGAAAAATCTCTAAGATCTGGAAAAAGACAAAGATGCCCACTTTTACCACTTTTATTCAACATAGTACTGGAAGTTCTAACTAAAGCAATTAAACAAGATAAAGAAATAAAATGCATTCAGATTGTAAAGGAAGAAGTCAAATTATCCTTGTTTGCAGATGGTATAATCTTATAGTTGGAAAAACCTAAAGACTCAACAAAGAAAACGTTTAGAACTGACTAACAAATTCAGTACAATTTCAGGATACAAAATCAACATTCAAAAGTTAGTAGCATTTGTATATGCCAACAGCAAACAATCTACAAAAGAAATCAAGAAAGTAACCCCATTTACAATAGCTACCAGCAAAATAAAATACCTGGGAATAAACATAACTAAATAAGTGAAAGATCTCTACGATGAAAACTATAAGACATTGATGCAACAAAATAAATAAAGAAAAAAATAATAAAAGATATTTCTTGTTCATAGATTGTAAGAATGAATATTGAAGTGTCCATAGGACCCAAAGCAATCTATAGATTCAATGCAATTCCTATCAAAATACCAATGACATTCTTCACAGAAATAGAAATAACAATCCTAAAATTTATATGGAACCACAAAAGACCTTGAAGGGCCAAAGCCTTCCTGAGCAAAAATAACAAAACAAGAGGGATCACATTACTTGACTTCAAATTATACTACAGAGTTATAATAACCAAAACAACATAATACTAGTATGAAAAACAGACACATAGACTAGTTTAACAGAATAGGAAACCCAGAAGAAAACCTACACATCTACAGTGAACTCATTTTTGACAAAAGTGCCAAGAACATACATTGGAGAATAGACAATCTCTCAATTAATGGTGCGGGGAAAACTGAATATCCATCTGCAGAAGAATGAAACTAAGTCCATGTGTCTCACCGTATTCAAAAAGCAAATCAAAATGGATTAAAGACTTATATCTAAGACATGAAAATATGAAACTACTAAGGGATCACGTAGGGGAAAATCTCCAGGACATTGGTCAGGGTAAAGATTTCTTGGGCAATATCCCAAAAGCAGAGGCAACCAAAGCTAAAATGAATGAATGAGATCACATTTAGCTAAAAAACTTCTGCACAGCAAAGGAAACAATCTACCAAGTGAAGAGCCAACTCACAAAATGGTGGAAAATATTTGCAAATTACCCATCTAATAAGGAATTAATAACCAGGTTATATAAGGAACTCATACAACTCTATAGGAAATAAATTGAATAATCCAATTAAAAATTGGGCAAAAGATCTAAATAGACATTTCTCAAAAGAAGACACACAAATGGCAAACAGGAATATGAAACGGTGCTCTACATTAGTGATCATCAGAGAAATGCAAATCAAAGCTATAATGCGATATCATCTCACCCCAATTAACATGGCTTTTATCCGAAAGACTATAATGAATACTGACAAGGATGTGGAGGAAAGGCAATCCTACTCTGTTGATGGGAACGTAAATTAGAGAAACATACAGAGATTCCTAAAAAACCAAAAACTAAACTGCCACATGATCTGACAATTCTACTGCTAGGTATATACCCAAAAGAAAGAAAAACACTATATTGAAGAGATACCTGCCCTCTCATATTTACCACACCACTGTTCACAATAGCCAAGATTTGAGGGCAACCTAAGTGTCCTTCAGCAAAAAAAATGAATAAAGAATACGTGGTCAGGGGTGGTGGCTCATGCCTGTAATCCCAGCACTTTGGGAGGCTGAGTTGGGCGGAGCATTTGAGGACAGGAGTTCAAGACCAGCCTGGCCAACATGGTGAAACCCTGTGTCTACTAAAATTACAAAAATTAGCCAGTTGTGGTGGTGCTCACCTGTAATCCCAGCTACTCGGGAGGCTGAGGCAGGAGAATCTTTTGAACCCAGAGGAGTAATTTGCATTGAGTTGAAATTGTGCCACTGCACTCCAGCTGGCTCCAGCCTGGGCGACAGAGTGAGACTCTGTCTCAAATAAAAAAAAAAATGTAGTATCTATACACAATGGTATACTTTTCAGCAATAAAGAAGAATGAATGAGAGTCTGTCATACGCAACCATATGAATATAACTGGAGGAGATTATGTTAAGTGAAATAAGCCAGACACAGAAAGATAAACTTTGCATGTTGTTACTCATTTGTGGGAGCTAAAAATTAAAACAATTGATCTCATGGAGACTCATGGAGTTAGAGAGTAGAATGGTAGTTACCAGAGGCTGGGAAGTGTAGTGAGGTGGGGGGAATAGGAATGGTTAATGGGTACAGAAATACAGTTATATACAATGAATAAGATTTACTATTTGATAGCACAACAGGGTGATTACAACAATAATTTTGTTACATTTTAGAATTACTCAGGGAGTACAATTAGAACATTCACAACACAAAGGGATCATGAATGCTTGAGGTGACGTATCCCCTGCTACCCTCGGGTGAGTATTACACATTACATGCCTATATAAAATATTTTATGTTCCCCATAATTATATACACCCACTATGTGCCCATAAGAATTACAAAGAAAAAAAATTAAACAAAAAAATTCTACAATAAAAAGCTAATACATGAATAAATGAATGGGTAAATGAATAAATAAATGAAATATGTATGTAATTAAAGATTGCCTTTCTGAAGATACTTCTGTATATAGTTTTCCATTCTTAGATAGCCAGATCAAAAATAAATAGTTCTACAGAATTTGGATAGGATTTCATTTTCTACAAAATTTGCTAAAATTATTTATTGGACATAATACTAAATCAATGTTTGTATGATCACAAATATAAAGTTCCCTTTAGGGAATCTTTAATTTAGCACATTTACACATTAACCTTACTGTAAAGCTTTCTGGAATTGACTTGGTAATCCTATTTACAGACAGGAATAGAGATTTGGTTTTGTTTCATTACAGAATTAGGAGTTTTACTAATGACTGGGAAATTGTTCTTGCTGAAGACGAGGGCAAACATTTTAAAACAAGAATAATTGTTTAGTGCAGAAGTTCTCAAACTGCTTTGCACATTAACATCTCTTTGAGAATTTTAAAAAATTTCAAAACTCAGCTCCACTCCCTACCCCCATAGACCAGTGAAATAATAATCTCCACCCCAAATCAATTAGGTCATAATCTCTGGGGATGAGACAGAGACATTCACATGTTTCACATTTATTTTTATTGAAGCATTCCAGCTAATGGTAGGCAAGTTTGGGAACTACCAATGGCTTGGTATATGATTACGTTTCTGGCTTATATTAGCAGTAAGAGCAGGCACTCTGCATTAATTTTAACATTCCACGAAGCACTGTTAAAACTTTATTTGAAAGCGTACTAAATCTGCTGTGGAGAAAAATATATCTTTGGAAATCCCAATGTGCATATTTATTGTACTTTTACCATTGCCCTATCAAGTAGCAGAAGCATGTTTATCTGTCATAGGAATAACCACATCTGAATAGAAATTCATATAGCACATTTACAACCATTTAGCTCCATGTTATAATACTGTATAAATAAACCTCATGAATATAGTAAGTAGCCCAGCTTACAAGATTTCTTAATATATCAGAAGACTTTTTTAAATTTGAAACTTTTAAATCTCTTAAGACTTCAAATTTTGTTTTTAATAAAGAAGAAATTAAGCTGAATTTTATCATCATTCTAGTAATCCTAGTGCATATCAATTTCTCATCAAATCTTCAATTAAAAATATCCATCATCATTGTCAAAGGCTACAAAGTCTCAGGAGAAATAAGCATAATTTTTTTGGAGATAAATTGTACAGCATGCTGAATATAGCTAATAACTTAATACCCTACATTTCAATATCACAAAGAAAGTATATTTCTAATGTTCTCATCACAAAAATGTTAAATATTTGGGGTGATGGGTATGTTAATTAGCTTAACTTAATAATTCTACACTGTATTCAAAATTCATAACTTTTTATGTTTGTTGGTCGCTTGTCTGTCTTTTGAGAAATCTCTGTTCATGTCCTTTGTCCACTTTTTAATGGGATTATTTGTTTTTTTCTTGTTGAATTGTTAAAGCTCATTGGAGATTGTGAATATTATGACTTTGTCGAATGCATGGTTTGGAAATATTTTCTTCCATTCTGTAGGGTGATGTTTACTCTGTTGATAGTTTCTTTTGCTATACAGAAGCTCTTTAGTTTCATTGGATCCCACTTGTTAATTCTTGTTTTTGTAGCAATTACTTTTGAGGACTTAGTTATAAATTCCTTTCCAAAGCCAGTCAGTGTCTAGAAGGATATTTACTAGGTTTTCTTCAAGGATTTTTTATAGTTTTAGGTCTTACATTTAAGACTTTAATCCATCTTGTGTTAATTTTTGTTTATAGTGATTGGTAGGGGTCCAGTTTAATTCTTCTGCATATAGATAGCCAGTTATCTCAAAGTTGTTTAATGAGTAGAGAGTCCTTCCTCCATTGCTTATTTTTGTTGACTTTGTTAAGGATCAGATCATTGTAGATGTAGATGTGTGGCTTGATTTCTGGGTTCTCTATTCTGTTCTCTTGTTCTGTGTGTCTGTTTTTGTACCAGTACCGTGCTGTTTTGCTTACTGTAGCCTTGAAATAATAGAAGAAGAAATAATAAATGTTTGAGGTGATGTAGATCCCAATTACCCTGAGTTGACCATTACACACTGTATGCATGTATCAAAATATCACATGTAGCCAATGTGCATAGCCATTACGTAGCAATAAAAAATAAAAACCACATATTTAAAATACATACAAATAATCAATAACTGGAGCTACAAGCCCATTAAGACTTGACTGACGTCTGCTCTTGAGGCTAGGAAGAGAGATATATAATAAAAAGCTATGTGTATTGAAAAAGCAAAGAAGGGAGAATGTACAATATGTTAAGATAGTGGAGATGAAAGAATAGAAAATTCTTAAGAGAAGTTAAAAAGATAGAGAAAACATCAGGATGAAGATAATATTTGAATTGAAACTTAAAGAATCTATGTAATTTCATTGGTATAGTTCATCTCCCAATTGTTGGAAACACATTCTCACCTCCTGCTGTTCAATCATACAGTTTTTCATGGAGCCTATGTACTGTAATAGCTCCTAAAAAGTCTGAACAAATTTAATTAAAATGCCATTTCAAGATAGAATATCTCCTGGAATTACTTATCTTTAACCATTCTATTTAGAATATTTTATAATGGAGGTATAATTAGCATACATGGAAAGCAAAGAAATAAATCCTCATTGTTAGTAACTTATGTTGAAATCAGTAACTACAACATCATGTCATTAAAAAAAATTAGGTCTAATTTAACTGGCTACTTGCCATTTTGTGACACATATCTATTTGGCACTGCCTCCATGAAAGTTATATTTTCTGATTCGTTTAACATGCCACAATTGCATGTTTGTGTATTAATAATTAATTAAACTAAAAAATAATTTTGAGGTTTCCAAGCCAATAAATTTTTACATGTGTGAGCCTGTAACAACAACAATAGCTAATATTTACTGAGGGTTTACTCTCTAGGCCAGGCAGGATACTAAGGGATTTACATGCATGATCTCCTCGAACTTTTACATAAACCTAGGGAGCTAGTTATTATAATGATCTCCATTATATATATTAACAAATGGAGGCCCAGAAGTATTGTCATTTCCAAGGTCACAGCCAATAAATAGAGACCTTAGTTTCAGCCCAGGCAGAAGTTCATTACCACATCCTTAAGCATGACAACTTTCTTCTACCTCTTATTTTTAGCTATAGCACTGACACCCCCATTCAAACATTATCTAATTTAAATTGGACATCTGTATTCTATACATTCATTTGCATACCACTGTTGCTTATTATGGAATTAGATTTGGAAGAATTTTATAGTCTGTTTGTGAGAGACTATTTATTTATAATATCCTTCCGTAGAATATGTATTATTTGGTTAAAGAAAAAGTGTATTCATCTATACATGGTATATATAGGATATTTATTTATATATGACCTCCTCACATGAACCAAAAAGTGGAAACTTCATTTATTATAAGATCATTATTCAACTCAGTTAAGTACCCAAAATAATCATTTGCATGCACTAGAAATGTATAATGAATGTTGAAGTGATGAGTGCATGAATGAATGAATGAATGCTCTATCCTCTGTAAGTGTCAGTTAACAAAGCTAGTACATGCATTATGAGACTGTGTGTGTGTGTTGATATTTTGACAATTACAGCAAGGGGTCAATTTGTTTATAACCCCTTCTGCAATGTAAAGAAGTAATTCCACTTTAAAGGAAATGGATGTGGGCATAGTTCATCATTCTTTTTTTGGCATTCAGAGAATAAATTCCCCCCTGGCTAGGATGCTAGGATAAGAGCTGCCTCTAAAACAAGAAAATAACCATAATGTATACTAACATTAACATGAGTGAAAAAGTAAAAACAAAACAAACAAACAAACACAAGTCAGTTGAAGTAAGGTGTGGAGATGAGAAATTTCAGTGTCAAGTAGTGCTTCTCTCCACGGTGGTTAAAATGTTCCCAGTTTATGTGAAATGTATGATTGATTCTCTTTCACTTGGAAGAATTTTACTATACCCAAAGGGAGAACTGTAAGATTACCGCTATTACTAAAATCAAACATCAGGAATGAAAATCCTACCCTCTGGCAAAATACATGTTTTAATAATCAGCTAAATATCCATATCAGTGTTGCTGCTGTAAGTTGTCATTGATAACAGAGCTATTTCGAATTTTAATGTCAACACCGCTCATGGCTTAGCATTACAAATTAGACAACCAAGGATCCCTGTATCCTGCATCGTTAAAGACAAATCCAATTCCAGAAAGCAGATTGCCATTATTTTACTATTCTGAACATATTTTCATCAAGGCATGACATTATTGGGCATGGATTTTATACTTTTTTATCTCTCTTATATTCCCTTTAGAATAGAACATTTTGACAATGGCTACAAAGACTTATTGTGGTATATGTTTATAAATCATTAACAAAATTATTGTCACATTGGTGTGATGCTTCTACTAAGACATAAACTAGATTATTTATTTTTCTAGGGGCAAGAAAAATAAATAACTACAAAAATGAGATGAAGGAAGGAAGAATAAGAGTCTGTTGTTAGATCTAGAGAACTTGAAATGAGAGTGATCTATTAAAACATTTATTAGCAATCTCTCGAAGGCCACAATAAACATCTGCAAACCAATGCGCTTCACTGTTCTAGAGAAGCACAAGTTTAAGAAATGCCATATATATCATTCATCACCTGCTTGAATAAATACTTTTTTATTGTCT
Organism: Homo sapiens; assembly: GCF_000001405.40. Lineage (NCBI taxonomy): Eukaryota > Metazoa > Chordata > Mammalia > Primates > Hominidae > Homo > Homo sapiens. The sequence goes on from NC_000007.14 coordinate 118,550,561, forward strand.
TCAGAAAAGCATCTGTCAGCTGCTATGTTACCAGAACAAGTCAAAGTCTATTAACATTTATTGATGCTAGTATTATGAAATGATGAAACTTTAAATTTTTGTGTGAAAACAGATGACTGGGGCAAAGACAAGGGATTCTCACCAAGAAATTATCCTAAACTGACTACATTATTTCAAATATGCTTTTCTGTTTGCTGAAGGTGTGAAATGAGCCATTGTGTGAAATGTGCAACCTTTACTCAAGACATTTCAGTAGCAAAGACACTAAAAATAAAAGCAGAAATGTGTATCCCTCTACTGGCATTGATAATGTTGAATATTTTCTGTACTTGAATGATGCAGTAAGAAGCTGGTCACCTAAATCTATTTGGGCTCTTTCTCCAATATGCTGATACTTAATTGAACCTGGCAAAATAAGTCATCCCAAATTCAAATGACCCTCTCCACATTGGAGGCACTCATAGATGGAATAGCAGCTTATGTTCATTTCTGGACTATAACTGGGCAAAACCATTCCAGTTAGACTTTGATGTAAGAAAATAAAATGAACTGTACATAAAGAGAAAGCAGGATTTAACATAAAGTGAGTGTCCATAGTGCTATAGGATCTTCTTACAAGTATGTAAGTGAAAGTATCTGGGCCTTTAAGGTAGCACCAGAAAAGATTTTAATGTCCAGATTTTATGTCGCAGACTGAAATATGTCAGATGGTAGCAATGGGGCTTCTACACCATTGAATCAGCTAAAATGTCATCAGCATTTTAAATGACCAAAAGCAAGATACAAAATAAATAAAATTGTGTAAGTATAAAGATTTTATTGAGGAGAGACAAACACTACTCAAGTAATGCTCTAAAATTATTTTCTTTTTTTTTTGAAAAAATAAGATTTTATTTAACATAATTTTTTTCTTTATTATTATTATACTTTAAGTTTTAGGGTACATGTGCACAATGTGCAGCTTAGTTACATATGTATACATGTGCCATGCTGGTGCGCTGCACCCATTAACTCGTCATTTAACATTAGGTATATCTCCTAATGCTATCCCTCCCCACTCCCCCCACCCCACAACAGTCCCCAGAGTGTGATGTTCCCCTTCCTGTGTCCATGTGTTCTCATTGTTCAGTTCCCACCTATGAGCGAGAACATGCCATGTTTGGTTTTTTGTCCTCACAATAGTTTACTGAGAATGATGATTTCCAATTTCATCCATGTCCCTACAAAGGACATGAACTCATTGTTTTTTATGGCTGCATAGTATTCCATGGTGTATATGTGCCACATTTTCTTAATCCAGTCTATCATTGTTGGACATTTGGGTTGGTTCCAAGTCTTTGCTATTGTGAATAGTGCCACAATAAACATACGTGTGCATGTGTCTTTATAGCAGCATGATTTAGAGTCCTTTGGGTATATACCCAGTAATGGGATGGCTGGGTCAAATGGTATTTCTAGTTCTAGATCCCTGAGGAATCGCCACACTGACCTCTACCATGGTTGAACTAGTTTACAGTCCCACCAACAGTGTAAAAGTGTTCCTATTTCTCCACATCCTCTCCAGCACCTGTTGTTTCCTGACTTTTTAATGATTGCCATTCTAACTGGTGTGAGATGGTATCTCATTGTGGTTTTGATTTGCATTTCTCTGATGGCCAGTGATGATGAGCATTTTTTCATGTGTCTTTTGGCTGCATAAATGTCTTCTTTTGAGAAGTGTCTGTTCATGTCCTTCACCCACTTTTTGATGGGGTTGTTTGTTTTTTTCTTGTAAATTTGTTTGAGTTCATTGTAGATTCTGGATATTAGCCCTTTGTCAGATGAGTAGGTTGCGAAAATTTTCTCCCATTTTGTAGGTTGCCTGTTCACTGTGATGGTAGTTTCTTTTGCTGTGCAGAAGCTCTTTAGTTTAATTAGATCCCATTTGTCAATTTTGGCTTTTGTTGCCATTGCTTTTGGTGTTTTAGACATGAAGTCCTTGCCCATGCCTATGTCCTAAATGGTAATGCCTAGGTTTTCTTCTAGGGTGTTTATGGTTTTAGGTCTAACATTTAAGTCTTTAATCCATCTTGAATTAATTTTTGTATAAGGTGTAAGGAAGGGATCCAGTTTCAGCTTTCTACATATGGCTAGCCAGCTTTCCCAGCGCCATTTATTAAATAGGGAATCCTTTCCCCATTGCTTGTTTTTCTCAGGTTTGTCAAAGATCAGATAGTTGTAGATATGCGGCGTTATTTCTGAGGGCTCTGTTCTGTTCCATTGATCTATATCTCTGTTTTGGTACCAGTACCATGCTGTTTTGGTTACTGTAGCCTTGTAGTATAGTTTGAAGTCGGGTAGTGTGATGCCTCCAGCTTTGTTCTTTTGGCTTAGGATTGACTTGGCGATGCCGGCTGTTTTTTCGTTCCGTATGAACTTTAAAGTAGTTTTTTCCAATTCTGTGAAGAAAGGCATTGGTAGCTTGATGGGGATGGCATTGAATCTGTAAATTACCTTGGGCAGTATGGCCATTTTCATGATATTGATTCTTCCTACCCATGAGCATGGAATGTTCTTCCATTTGTTTGTATCCTCTTTTATTTCCTTGAGCAGTGGTTTGTAGTTCTCCTTGAAGAGGTCCTTCACATCCCTTGTAAGTTGGATTCCTAGGTATTTTATTCTCTTTGAAGCAATTGTGAATGGGAGTTCACTCATGATTTGGCTCTTTCTTTGTCTGTTATTGGTGTATAAGAATGCTTGTGATTTTTGCACATTGATTTTGTATCCTGAGACTTTGCTGAAGTTGCTTATCAGCTTAAGGAGATTTTGGGCTGAGACGACGGGGTTGGAAGTTCTGGCCAGGGCAATTAGGCAGGAGAAGGAAATAAAGGGTATTCAATTAGGAAAAGAGGAAGTCAAATTGTCCCTGTTTGCAGATGACATGATTGTATATCTAAAATTATTTTCTATAATGGATTCTTTTCCAGCTTCAATAAGTAAACTGACATATGGTGGCTTGTATTTCAGATGGATCAGCAATGACACATAAATTCAGCAAACCTAGCCTATCTGGTGAGCCAACATTCTGATGTGTACAGGCATCTACCATTACTTACAAGAAGTAAAGAAATCTATATATAAACTATTAAATGATTGTCTTTGTAGTTGAAACAAAACAAAGATTCATTATTTTCAGTTTTTCATGTTAATTATTTTTAAATCCCTATCTCTGGCATTTGGAAAGAGTGAGTAATTTTACTATATCAAGAGCACAAAATAGCCTTATCTACTAATGAAATTGTGCAGGAGGAATGAAGAACAGATGACTGCAACTATCACTACTAATATTTGGCCTTTTTAATAATTCAGAGCTTCCTAAATGAAGCATATATTACATATTTACCTTTAACCACTAATGCTTCATCAAATCTCACTAACAAATATAGCATTAATTTGGCAATCTAAAATATTCAGACAAAAATATAAGATCAGGGAAGAACTTCTAAATAGTCAAACAGCCACTCTAAGTTTGCTTTATGTAGAACATTTTAACTCCTCATAAAAGTGTGACAACAGTATTTCCAAAGTCATGTAAATTAGTTCCACTCTTAAGAGAAAATTTCCTAATATCAACTTTTAAAAAAAAGATAACTTGCACTCTACCAAATAAGAAACGAGACACAGAAAGTCAAACCAATAATGAAATTAATTAATTAATTTAAAAAAGCCCTCTGTGGTACACCATTGTTCTGGTACCTACCTCATTAGCCTTTGAGAGTATGTTTATATAGTGAAGAGTATATTACATGTTCATGTTGGAGATTTATTACTGATGTACTCACTTATTGATTTAATGTTCTTTTCTTGAGAGGGCACTATATGCCAGGCACTGTGAAAACGGTAAGAACAATATACTGATTAAACCTCTGTAGACCTAATACATATTCTAGAGAAACCAATAGTTGAGTAAGAATGACAATGAATTTCTACCACCCTAAGAAAATGAAGTCAAAATTTCTCAGTTGGTGGTTTAGAAATTTAGAAAACTTCTCAGTCAGTGGTGATTAGTAGGGAGTTAAACAAGCAACCAAGGAAGCAAGAAAGCAAGCAAGCAAACAAACAAACAAATAAACAAACAGAAAAGTAGAATTTCAGGGTAGGAAAAGGCTCCAAGTCAGTGACTCCAATTCCATCTCTTAGATGTTATCTCTCTTTGTGTTTCTTACAGTTCTATTACTGCTAGCACTAACCTAAGACCCTAACAAAATATTTCCAGAATGCAGCTCTAAATTAAGTAGGTACAAAAGGCCCCTCACTTGGTCTCTCTTTATAGTTGAGACAAAATAGAGGTATTACAAAGTCCTTTCTAAATATGAGTGGAGAATTACTTAGAAATAAACATGATGAATTACACAAATATTTAGTTCAATTTCCTAAATTTAATATCCTATTCTAATATCCATCACATATTCCTAAGGAAGAACTTCTAGTTTGGTGGAGCTGGGCTCAGTGAATCCTCTTCCTCTCACCAAAAATGATAAAACTAAACAAAATTGTTAAAAATGACCATGATAGAAATCTTGAAATTCATCACAGGCCTACAAATAATTAAGAATCGTTTATTTTTAAAAAGATAATGAATCTCAGGTAAAACACAGTTAAATCTACTGCAATTTAGCCCATGACTACTCCTACCCACCACTCATTTCCTTCAGAGCAGTAGTTATACCAGGACAAGGCAGGCCAAGAAAATGAAGGATATTGATGTTACAGGGCACTGACTTGATTTGGAGAAGCCTTGAAAAACCTCATGCCCAGGATCTTTGTTAAAAAATATAAACTTGGATAGTGAAACAAACAATAACAGCAACAACAAAAATCCAAAACAAAATAGCTTCTATTGCTCTAATTTTATAACTATGATATAGACTTATCAAATCAGTTTTTAAGATTTCATTTTATATAATTTTATTTTAAATCACTTAAGAAAAGAGACAAATGTATTTATACTGTCATTTATATTTACCTTTGTGATTACCTTTACAGACAACCTTTATTTTTTATGTGGTTTGATATAAATATATGCATACTGATATGGTCAATATCATATATGCATATCAGTATATTTATGTATATATATGTAGTTTTCTATACATACACACACACACCAGAAAAAAAATTAAAATGGTACACTAGAAGATATCTATTTAATACAAATTACAAAAGTAAAGAAGGAAAAGAGGAACAAACAGATATGAGACACACAGAAGACAAATAGTACTTTTGCAAACATAGAGCAAATCATATCAAAAATTACACTGAATATAATTAATTAAAAGGGAGAGAATATGAGGCTGTACTTAAGCCAAAATAAGATCCATGTGCATACCATATTCAAGAGATACATTTTAGGTTGAAAGACAAAAACAGGTTGAAAGTAAAAGTCCATTCTTGTGTTGCTATAAATACCTGACTGGGTAATTTATAAAGAAAGGTTTTATTTGGCTCATGGCTCTGCAGGCTTTAAAGAAAACATGGTTCTGGCATCTGCTTCTGGTGAGGCCTCAGAGAGCTAACAACCACGGTGGAAGGCAAAGGGGAGCACCAAATTACATGGTGAGAGTGGGAACAAGAGAGGGAGAAGGGGGAGTTCTCAGACTCTTTTAAACAGCCAGACCTTGTGTCAAATAGCTGAGAGAAAATTCAGTTATCACCAACGGGATAGTGCTAAACTATTTATGAGGGATTCACCCACATTATCCAAACATCTCCCACCTTGTCCCACCTCCAACATTGGGAATCACATTTTGACATGAGATTTGGAAGAAACAAATATTCAAACCATATCAAAAAAGATGGACAAACATATATACTATGCAAACAGTAAACATACATGATCTGGGAGTGCATGCAAATATAATAAAATATAGACGTTAAGAAAAAGCTATTACTAGAGAAAGAGAAAAATATTTTATACTGATAAAAAGGTCAGTTAATTGGGCATTATATATATATACATATTTTAAAAACATACTCACTGAGCAATAGAGACTCTAAATACATAAAGCAAAAACTGACGTAATTAAAGGGAGAAATAGAGAATTCAACTCTAATAGTTGTAGATTTCAATAACCTATTTTTAATAATTAATAGAGAAACAAGACAAAAATTAGTAAGAATATAAGATACTTGAAAAATAGTATCAAACCAATTGATATAACTGATATTTATAGAACACTACACCTAAAAAATCATAATATATATTTATGTCAAGTACATGTGGAACATTTCTCAAGATAGAGCATACACTATACCATGAAACAGGTCTAAATATGTTGAAAAATTTGAAATCATGCAAAGCGTGTTCTCTGATTATATCACAATTAGAAAAAAACAACAAAACAACATCTGGGAAATCCACAAATATTTGAAAGTTAAGCAATACACTTGTTAACAGCATAAGGATAAAAGAATAAATAAAAAGAAAAAGTGGAAAATATTTTGAAGTGAATGAAATCAAATCACAGCATATCTCATTTTATAGGAAACCATTAAAACATTGCTAAAAAGGAACTTTATAGCTATAAACACATATAATAGAAAAAAAGAAAGATATTAAATAAGTAATCTAACTTTTTACCTCAAGAAATAAGGGAAGAATCTCCTTATTGAAGGGTGGAGAAAGAATCTCTGAAAATCCACTCCTCCATAAAAGCAACAAAAATGTTTGCAAAAAAAAAATCAAAATCATTGAGAATTCTGGAAATTAAAAAAGTCTTGCAACCATTTGAACATTATTTATTTGTGATAAAAATGCTGAATCTAGGTAAGAAGAGTATGTTTTGTGGTGGTTTAATTTGCCACATTCCCACCTTCTCTTGTCCACTTCATGTTAGCCTCAAAAACCAACAGTTTGCCTGGGCGCGGTGGCTCACGCCTGTAATCCCAGCACTTTGGGAGGCCTAGGCAGGTGGATCATGAGGTCAGGCGATCGAGACCACAGTGAATCCCTGTCTCTACTAAAAATACAAAAAAGTAGCTTGGTGCACTGCTGGGCACCTGTAGTCCCAGCTACTCGGGAGGCTGAGGCAGGAGAATGGTGTGAACCTGGAAGGCAGAGTTTGCAGTGAGCCAAGATTGCACCACTGCACTCCAGCCTGGGCGACAGAGCGAGACTCCATCTCAAAAAAAAAAAAAAAAAAAAAAAAAAACCCAACAGTTTGACTATCACAATAACCATGAAAAGAGGCAGTGAAGGAAAAGGTAAAGTTTAAATTGCCTAACCAAGCATTGGAGGTATGTCTCAACGTTAACATAGAGCCACTTAGCAAAGATTCATAGACTTACTTGTTCAAGGCATGTGAGAAAAACTCTGTTCAATTATTACATGACCATCAGGCAAACCAAGCAGAGATGTCAGAAGCCACATACAGAATATATAGTTAACAATAAGTTGTTGTATATTTCAAAATAATTGTAAAATGGAATTGAAATGTTTCTAACACAAAGAAATAATCAATACTTGAGGTGATGGATACCCCAATTACCCTGATTTATTTGATCATTACACATTGTATGCTTGTATCAAAATATCACATGTACTCCACAAATAAGTACAATAGTTGTGTTTACATAGCAATTAAAAGTTTTTTAAAAATTAAAAACATACAAATTTTGCAGAATTAGTCCAGAAGAGTAATCAAACAATTAAACAAACATCAAGTGGCAACAACAAATAGCAACAATGGCAACCCCTGGCTGGGTGGTCTAATACTGAGTTGTCAGATTAAGTTATAGAAAGTGTTCAGTTTCAAAGATTTTCAAGACATGCAAAGAAACCAGAATGTATACCCATGTAGTGTGTAGGAGGGAAGATTAACAGAAACTGTACCAGAGGAAGTATAGACATTAGATTTGCTAGACAAATACTTTAAATGAACTACTGTAAATATGTTCAAACAACTAAACAAAACCATGTGTAAAGAACTAAAGGATTGGCTGGGCATGATGACTCATACATATACTCCTACCACTTTGGGAAGCTGGGATGAGTGGATCACTTGAGCCCAGGGGTTTGAGACCAGCCTGGGAAATCATCACAAAACTCCATCTCTCCAAAAAAAAAAATAAAAATTATCTGGGCACGGTGGCACATGCCTGTAGTTCCAGCTACTTGGAAGGCTGTGGTGATCACCTAAGCCTGGTAAAGTTGAGGCTTCAGTGAGCTGTGATCACACCCCTGCACTCCAACCTGGGTGACACAACAAGACACGGTCTTAAATGAATAAATAAAATAAATAAATAAATAAATACATAAAGGATTGTATGAGAATGGTGTCTTATTACATAAACAATAGCAAAAAAGTTAAAAGTCATTCTAAACAAAGAACTACATTGAAATTTTGAAGTAAAAATGTTAAATAATTGAAATTAAAAATTTTACTTGAGTGATTCAAAAGTATATTTGAGCAGGCAGGAGGAAGAAACTATGATCTTAAGAACAGGCTAATCAAAATTATCCAGTCTGAGAAATGAAAATAATAATGAATGAACAAAAATGGAGAACCTCAGAGACCCACAAGGACATCATAACTGTGCTAACACATATATAATGTGACTCTCAGAAGGAGAGAAGAAAGATAAAATAAAAATAATATTTGAATAAATAATGACCAATGGCTTCCTAATGGAAGAAAAATATTAACCTACAAATAAAAGAAAACTTCAGGTACTATGGATTTAAGCAAGTCCAAATTTAAACATATTATAATCAAACTGTCAAATTCAAAAACAATAGATCTTAAAAGCAGCAAAAGAGAAACAACTCATCAGGGACAAAAGTCTTCAATAAGATGAACATTAACTTCTGATCAGAAGCTATGGAAACGAGAAGGCATTGGAATGACATACTAAAAATGTTAAAACCAAACTATTGTAAAAAAAGAATTATCTACATAACTATGTTTCATAAAAGAAGGAGAAATTAAGACATTTTCAGCTTCACAGAAACTTCATATGATAATCTCAAATGATGTGGAGAAAGCATTTGACAAAATCCATTATTTTTCATGATAATAACACTCAATAAACCAAGAAGGCAAATTCTCTAAATTGATAAGACATTTATAAAAAACATACAGCTAACACCGTACTGAATATTGAGACACTTAAAATTTTCTACTTCAGATCAGAAACAAGACAAGGATGTCTCTTCTTATCAATTGTATTCAACATTGTATTGGAGGTTCTAGCTAGAACAATTATGCCAGAACAATAAACAAAAAGCATCCAGATTTCAAGAAATAAAACAATCTCTATTCATAGAGACATGGTCTTGCATATAGAAAATCTTTGAAAATTCACTAAAAAAACCTATCAGAACTAATAAATGAGTTTATCAGGTTACAGGATGTAGGATCAATATACAAAAATAAATTTTATTTCCATATACGGGCAAGAAACAATCTGAGAGTAAATTAAGACTATAAATCCATTTATAGTAGCATCAAAAATAAAAGTTATTAATTTAACATAAGAAGAGCAAGACTTTCATCTGTGGACTACAAAACATCTTTAAGAAATTAATGAATTTCTAAATTAATAGAAACACATCTCGTGTTCATACATCAGAAGACTTAATATTATGTCAAGATGGCAATGCTCATCAACTTGATCTACATAATCAATGCAATTTTTATCAAAATCCCAGTTGGCTTTGTTACAGAAATTGACATACTGATATTAAAATTCATATGAAAATGCTATGATCCAGAAGAGTCAGATAATCTTGAAAAAGAAGAACAAATTTGAAGGGCTTATATTTTCTATTTCTAAACTGACTATAAAGCCATAATAAACAAGATCACATATTATTGGCATAGGAATATACATATAGATCAATGGAATAGAATTCAGAGTCCATGAATCAACCCTTGCTTTGACTCCATGGTAAACCATTTTTTGACAAGAATGTCAAGGTTCATCAGATGGGAAAGAATAATCATTTCAACAAATGGAGTTGTAACAATTGGTTATCTACCTGCAAAAAAGCAAGATTGTACTATGTCTTACATCATATATAAAAGTAAACTAAAAAAGTAACTCATATAAAATTGACTTAAATCATACACATACATGAAAGAAAAATATATAAAACTCTTAGAAGAAGTTATAGGAGTAAATCTTCCAGAATTTAGGTTATTGGGCAGTATTTTCTTACATATGATGACAAAAGCACAAGGTACAAAAAAAGTTGAATTGCACTTAATGACAATTAAAAACCTTTGTGCTTTAATGAATTCCATTGGACAAATGGCCATATGCAGAACAGGAGAAAATATTTACAAATTATATATATGATATGTGACTTGTATTCAGAATATACTAAGAACTCATACCTCATTAGGAATTAAATGTTTTCATCCCCTTAAAATTCATATTTTGAAGCCTTAACATGCAATGTGAATATACTTGGAGATAGGGCCTATACAGAATTAATGAGGGTTAGATTTGGCCATAAGAGTGAGACTCTCGTAATGTTATTCAATCACTTATAAGAAGAGATACCAGGGTGTTTGCTATTTCTGTTAACATGTGAGGATACAAAAAGAAGGTGGCTATTTACAAGCCAGAAACAGAGACTGCACCAAAACCTGGCCATGCTAGGACCAGGACCTTGGACTTTTCAATCTTTAGAACTGTAAGAAATAAATTTCTGTTGTGTAAGCCACCTTGTTTGCAGTATTTTGTTATAACAGACTGAGCTAAGACATGCCTCAGTAATAAAAAATACAAATAACCTAATTTTAAAAATGGGGGCCGGGCGTGGTGGCTCATGCCCATAATCCCAGCACTTTGGGAGGCCAAGGTGGGCAGATCACAAGGTCAGGAGATCGAGAGCCTCCTGGCTAACATGGTGAAACCCCGTCTCTACTAAAAATACAAAAAATTAGCCAGGCGTGGTGGCAGGTGCCTGTGGTCCCAGCTACTCGGGAGGCTGAGGCAGGAGAATGGCATGAACCTGGGAGGCGGAGCTTGCAGTGAGCCGAGATTGCGCCACTACAGTCTAGCCTGGGCGACAGAGCAAGACTCCATCTCAAAAAAAAAAAAAAAAAAAAAGTACACCTGTGTAGGCTACTTACTGTGAATGAAGCTTGCAGGAATGGAAGTGGCTCTGGGTGAGTCAGTGAGTGAGTAGTGAGTCAATGTGAAGGCCCAGGACATTACTGTACACTGCTGTAGATTTTATAAACACTTCAACTGTCTTGTAATAATACTTAGCTTAAAACACAAACACATTGTACAGCTGAAAAAAATTTTCTTTACATCTTTATTACATAAACATTTTTCTATTTTCAATGTTTTAACTTTTTAAAATTTTTTGTTAAAAATTAAGACACCAGCATACACATTAGCTTACGTCTACACAGGGTAAGGATCATCAATATCATGGTGAAACCCCGTCTGTACTAAAAATAGAAAAAATTAGCCAGGCATGGTGGCATGTGCCTGTAGTCCCAGCTACTCGGGAGGCTGAGGCAGGAGAATTGCTTGAACCTGGGAGGTGGAGGTTGCAGTGAGCGGAGATTGCACCACTGCACTCCAGCCTGGGCGATAGAGCAAGACTCTGTCTCAAAAAAAAAAGGGGGGAAAGGATTCAAATAGACATTTATCCAAAGAAATTCTAGAAATGACCAATAAGGGGATTAAAAGATGTTAAATATCATAAGTCATTATGAAAGTGCAAATCAGAACCACAGTGAGATGTCACTTCACATACACAAGGATGGCCATAATGAAAACAACATGGACAGTAATGAACGTCAGCAAGAATGTGGAGAAACTAGAATACTAATACACTGATAGTAAGAATGCAAAATGGTAAACTAAAACAGTTTGCCAATTCCTAAAAAATTTAAAGCCCGAATTACCATGTAATGCAGCAATTCTACTCCTGGGTAAATACCCAAGAAAATGGAAAACATATGTCCACACAAAAATGTGTACACAAATATGCATAGTAGTATTACTTATAATAAACAAGTAACTCAATTGCTTATCAACTGATGAATGAATAAACAGATATATGTAATGTTCTTCAGTCGTTGGTTTCCTGATGTATGTTACAACATGCAAAAACCTTGAAAATATTTTGCTAACTGAAAGAAGCCAGACAGAATTGGCCACATATTATGTGATTAAATTTATATGATATACCAAAAGAGGCAAACGAATGGAGACAGGAAGAAGATTAGTGGTTTCCAGGGGCTGAGGGGAGAGAAAGCGAGAAGTGACTGTTAATAGGCATGGGGTTTCTTCTTGGGGTGACAAAACTGTTCTGGAATTTGATAGTGATGATGGTTGCACAGCTCTGTGAATATGCCAAACAGCACTGAAATGTATGCTTTAATAGTATGTATATGATGGTATGTGAATTATATTTCAATAAAGCTCTTACACAATAAATAAAATGCAATGACTTTAAAAGAAAAAGATGTGCAGTTTGAAAAGAAAGTAAAATTGTCTTAATTTACAATCAATATGATCTTGTACATAGAAAGTATAAGAAATACAGAAAAAATACTACTAGGTCTAATATATACATTCAACAAATTTTCAAAACACAACATTCATATATAAAACTTATTTATATAATCATGGACCACATAATGATGTTTTTGGTCAGTGACAGATGACATATATGATGGTGGTCCCACAAAATTATAATGGAGCTGAAATTTCCTAACACACAGTGATATGGTTTGGCTCTGTGTCCCCACCCAAATCTCATCTTGTAGCTCCCATAATTCCCAAGTATTGTAGGAAGGAGGGTCCTGGGGGGAGATAATTGAATCATTCAGGTGGGTCTTTCCCATGCTGTTCTCATGATAGTGAATAAGTCTCGTGAGATCTGGTGGTTTTAATAATGGGAGTTTCCCTGCAGAAGCTCTCTCTCTCTCTTTGCCTGCTGCCATCCATGTAAGACGTGACTTGCTCCTCTGCCATGATTGTGAGGCCTCCCCAGCCATGTGGCACTATAAGTCTATTAAATCTCTTTCTTTTGTAAATTTTCAAGTCTTGGGTATGTCTTTATTAGTGGCATAAAACAGGCTAACACAGTGTTTACTATACTTTTTATCATTTAGAGTGAACATCTACTTATTAAAAAAAACTTAACTATAAGACAGCCTCAGGCAGGTCCTTTGGGAAGTATTCCTGAAGAAGGCATTGTTATTATAGGAGTTGACACCTCCATGCATGTTATTTCCCTTGAAGGCTTTCCAGTGGGACAAGGGGATGGTGATATTGATGATTCTTACCCTGTGTAGGCCTAAGCTAATGTGTATGCTGGTGTCTTAATTTTTAACAAAAATTTTTAAAAAGTTAAAACATTGAAAATGGAAAAATGTTTATGTAATAAAGATGTAAAGAAAATTTTTTTCAGCTGTACAATGTGTTTGTGTTTTAAGCTACGTATTATTACAAGACAGTTGAAGTGTTTATAAAATCTACAGCAGTGTACAGTAATGTCCTGGGCCTTCACATTGACTCACTACTCACTCACTGACTCACCCAGAGTCACTTCCATTCCTGCAAGCTTCATACACAGTAAGTAGCTTACACAGGTGTACCTTTTTTTTTTTTTTTTTGAGGTGGAGTCTCACTTTGTCCCTCAGGCTGGAGTGCAGTGGCGCGATCTCAGCTCACTGCAAGCTCTGCCTCCCAGGTTCACGCCATTTTCCTGCCTCAGCCTCCCGAGTAGCTGGGACTGCAGGTGCCCGCCACCATGCCCGGCTAATTTTTTGCATTTTTAGTAGAGATGGGGTTTCACCGTGTTAGCCAGGAGGGTCTCGATCTCCTGACATCGTGATCTGCCCACCTCGGCCTCCCAAAGTGCTGGGATTACAGGCGTGAGCCACTGCGCCCGGCCCAGGTGTACCATTCTTTTATACTTTATATTGCATTTTCACTGTACCTTTTCTATTTTTAGATATGTTTAGATACATACATACTTACTATTGTGTTATAATTGTTGACAGCATTCAGCACAATAGCAGCCTGTACAGGTTTGTAGTCCAGGAGCAATACACTATACTATATATCCTAGGTATGCAGTAGGCCAAATCATATAGATTCGTTTAAGTACACTCTGTGATGTTTGCACCACGATGAAATTGCCTAAAAACACATTTCTTAGAATATGTCTCTGTGGTTAAGCAATACATAACTGTCTGTTTATGTAGTGAAAATGAACATCTGTAAACAAGATTATGAAAACAATTTCATTTTCTATAGCATCAAAAAAAGAAATAAAAATATAAATGAAAAGCTTAATGAAAATGACAAAACCATTTCTGAGAAAAATAAATGAAAATGTAATTAACTGGAGAGACATTCTATATTCATGGATTAAAAGATCCAATATTATTAAGATGGCAGTTCTCTCAAAAATGATCTGATGCAACACTAATCAAAATCCCAATAGGCTTTTGTTTCCTTTTTCAGAAATAAACTGACTCTACATTTTATATGCAAATGAGAAAAACCCAGAATAACTAAAACAATTTTGAAAATAATAACAAAATTGAGAGACATTATACTTTAGTTTCAAAGCTTATTACAAGGGATGGTTATCAACACAGTGTGTACTGACACTAGATTATGCATATTTTACCGTTGGATAATGTAATGTACATATTATTAAATATACATGTTTATTCAGTGGCATATAACGCTTCTTTTTTTGAGAAGTGGTACTTTGCAGGATGTTTTACAACATCTTTGGTACTAGCCTTCACCCCCAAGTAATGACAATAAAAAAAATCTTCAGACATTGTGTTAGGCTATTTTCATGTTGCTATAAAGAAATACGTGAGACTGGGTAATTTATAAAGAAAAGAGGTTTAGCTTGGCTCCTGGCTTTGCAGGCCATACATGCAGAGTACCAGCATGTCATTGGCTCCTAGTGATGGCCTCAGGAGGCTTGCATTCATACTGGTAGGTTCAGGGGAGCCAGCATATCACATGGCAAGAGCAGGACCGAGAGAGAAGAAAGATGTCCCAGACTGTTTTAAACAACCAGATCTCACATGAAGTAACTGAGCAAGAATTCACTTATCATCAAGAGGATGAGGCTAAAGCATTCAGGAGGGACCCACTCTGATGATTCAATCACCTCCCACCAGGCCTCATGTCCAACAATGAGAATCACATTTCAAGATGATATTTGGAGGGGACAAACATCCAAACCATATCAGATATTGAGAAATATCCTTTGTGGAGAAAAGTAACTCCCAATGGAGAACCACTGATATAGGTCAATGAAAGAATTAAGCATCCTGAAAGAAACTCTCATATTTATGATGCATTCATTTTCAATCAATGATAGGCTTTTCAACAAATGGTGATGAAGTAATTGGATATCCATTGGCACAAAGCTGGATATAGCCTCTTACATGCTGTCATACATGAAATTAACCCAGAAAGAATCATAGTCTAAATGTAGGGGCTAAAACTATAAAATATTTAGAAGAAACAATAGCAGAAAATTATTGTAACCTTGGATTAGGCAAAGATATTTTAGCATCATCTATAACAAAAAATATCAATAAATTGGGCTTCATAAAATTTATAAACATTTGTACTTCAATAGTATACTTAAAAAATGAAAAGACCAGTTCCAAGGTGAGAGAAAATATTTTCAAATTATGCATCTTATAAGGGGATTTTATCCAGGATATTATATAAGGAATCTTTGCACCTCAATAATAAGATAAACAACCCAAATTAAAAATAGGCAAAGTATTTTTATAGAATTTTCACCAAAGAGATATAAGAATGACTAATGAGCACATGAAAAATGCTGAACATTAGTAAAAAGGGAAATATAAATTAAGACTCCTGTAAGATTCTACTTCACCCACTAAAATTGATATAATCAGTAAGACAAGTGTTGTTGAAGATATGGGGAAACAGGAAGTCTCACATTTTGCTGATAAAAATTTAAAATGTCCAGCTAGTTTGGAAAAAAATTTATTTGTTTCATGAAAGTTAAATATAAGCTTATCATACAACAAGCAATTCTACCCTTAGGAATCTACCCATAATTTCATGTATGAAATATTTCATGTATGAAATATTCTAAATATTCTAATAATTATACTATTATTATACATAATATTATACATAATAATGTATATTAGAATATTTTCATACAAAGACATATACATGAATGTTCAAAATAGCATTATTTATAATAGCCCCAAACTGGAAACAATTGAAACACCTAAACAGATAAATAAAATGTGATCTATCATACAATGGAGTACTATATAGCAATGACAAAAAGAATAAACTTCTGATACATGCTACAATATGAATGTGAAAACATTATGCTAGTGAAAGAAAGCAGAAACAGGAAACTACATATTTTTATAATTTCATTTATATGAAATGCCCAGAAAAGGCAAATCTATACAAAAAGAACAGATCAGAGGTTGCTTGGCACTTAGGATTGGAGCAGGAGTTGGCCACAGTTGGATACAATTCTGAAACTGGATTCTGGTAATGGTTGTATGACTGTTACTAAAATCATTAAACTGTACACTTAAAATGGTGATTCTTTCTGTTTGTTTGTTTGAGACAGGGTCTCACTCTCTCCCAGACTGGAGTGCAGTGTCACCATCATGGCTCACTGCAGCCTCTACCTCATGGGCTCAAGTGATCCTCCCACCTCATCCTCCTGAGTAGCTGGGACCATAGGTGTGAGCCACCATGCTTGGGTATTTTTAAAAATTTTTATAGAGTTAGGGTCTTACTGTGTTGCCCAGTCTGATCTTGAACTCCT